>NC_000006.12:92303893-92454831 GCF_000001405.40 Homo sapiens
TGCTAAAAGCAACATGATAACATAAACAAATAACATACAATGGAGCTCCAATACATCTGGCAACAGACTTTACAGTGGAAACCTTACAGGCCAGGAGAGAGTGGCACTGAAGGGAAAAAAACTTTTACCCTAGAACAGTATATCTGGAGAAAATATCCTACAAACATGAAGGAGAAATAGACTTTCTCAGACAAACAAAAGCAGAGGGATTTCATCAATACCAGACCTGTTCTACAAGAAATGCTACAGTTAGTACTTTAATTAGAAAGAAAATGACATTAATGAACAATAAATAGTCACCTGAAGGTATAACACAAAACTCACTGGTAATAGTAAGTGCACACAGTAAAACAGAATATTATAACTCTGTAACTGTGGTGTGTAAGCTACTCTCATCCTAAACAGAAAGAGTAATAAATGAACCAATCAAAAATCAAAACTACCTCAAGTTTTCAAGGCATAGTCAGTACAATAAGATATAAATAGAAACAACAAAAAGTTAAAAAGTGGGGGATGAAGTTAAGGCACTGATATGGTTTGGCTCTGTGTCCCCACCCAAATCTCATCTAGAATTGTAATCCCCATGTGGTGGAGGAGGGGCCTGGTGGGAGATGACTGGATGATGGTGGTGAATTTTTCCCTTGCTGTTCTCATAATAGTGAGTGTTCTCATGAAAGCTGATGGTTTTAAAGTGTGGCACTTCCCACCTTGCTCTCTTTCACCTGCCACCATGTAAGATGTACCTTGCTTCCCCTTCCACAATGATTTTAAGTTTCCTGAAGCTTCCCCAGTCATGCAGAACTGAGAGTCAATTAAACCCTCTATTCTTTATAAATTACTCATTCTCAGGTAGTTCTTTATAGCAGTGTGAAATAGAGGTGTAGAGTGTTTTATTAATTTATTTATTTTTTGCCCACTTGTTTGTTTATGCAAATAGAGTTAGGTTGTTTACCGATTAAAATAGTGGGTTATAAGATAGCATGTACAAGCCTACTGGTAACCTCAAACCAAAAACATACCATGGATAAACAAAAAATTAAAAGCAGGAAACTAAATCACATCACCAGAGAAAATCACCTTCATTAGAGAAGGACAAGAAGGAAAGAAAAAAGGATGAGCAGACCATAAAACAACCAGAAAACAAATAGCAGAATGGCACGAATAAGTCCTTACTTATCAGCGATAACATTGAATGTAGATGAACTAAACTCTCCACTCAAAAGACATGGACTGGCTGAATGGATGAATAAACAAGACCCATGAATATGTTGCCTGCAAGAAACATACTTCAGCTATCAAGAAACACTTAGACTGAAAATAAAGGGATGGAAAAGATATTCCATGTCAATGGAGACAAAAAAAAGCAGGAGTCACTATAGTTATATCAGTCAAAATAGATTTGAAGACAAAAACTACAAGAAGACACAAAGAAGTTCACTATAATGACAAAGGGGCCAATTCAGCAAGATGATATAACAATTTTAAATATATATACACCCAACATAGGCACAAACAGATATATAAAGGTAATATTATTAGAGCTAAAGAGAGAGAAAAGGTCCAATACAATAATAGCTGGAGACTTCAACATCCCACTTGCAGCATTTGACAGATCTTCTAGGCAGAAAGTCAACAAAGAAACATCAGACTTAATATGTTCTGTAGACCAAATGGATCTAATAGATATTTAGAGAACACTTCATCCAAGAGCTGCAAAATACACATTCTTTTTCTCAGCACATGGATCATTCTCAATGATAGATCATACGTTAGATCACGAATCAGTATTAAAATATTCAAAAATCGAAATAATATCAGGCATCTTCTTTAACCACAATGGAATAAAACTAAATATTAGTATCAAAAGAAATGTTGGAAACTATACAAATACAAGGAAATTAAGTGATATTCTCCTGAATTACCAGTGAGTCAATGAAGAAATTAAGAAGAAAATTTAAAAAAAAGTATTGAAAATTAAAAAAAATTATTGAAACAAATGATAGGGGAAACACAATATACTAAAATGTGTGAGATACAGCAAAAGCAGTACTAAGATGGAAATTTACAGCTATAAGTGCCTACATCAAAAGAGAGGAAAAATTTCAAATGAACAATCTAATAATGCATCTTAAATAACTAGAAAAGCCAAAACCCAAAATTATCAGAAGAAAATGAATAATGATGAGAGCAAAAATTAATGAAGCTGAAATTTAAATAAAAAAATTAAAAAGATCAAGAAAACAAAAAGTTGGTTTTTTGAAAACATAAACAAAATTGACAAACCACCAGCCAGGCTGACTAAGAAAAAAATTGACAAACCTCTACCCAGACTGACTAAGAAAAATAAGAGAGAAGATTCAAATAAATAAAATCAGAAATGAAAAAGGAGATATTACAACAGATACTGGAGAAATTTGAAGAATCATTAATGGCTACTATGAGCATCTATGTAACAATAAATTGGAAAATCTAGAAGAAATAGACAAATTCCTGAATACATATAACCTACCAAGATTGAACCAGGAAAAAAATCCAAAACCTGAACATATCAATAACAAGTAATGAGATAAAAGCCATAACAAAAAGGCTACCAGTAAAGAAAAGCCCAGCACCCAATGACTTCATTGTTGAATTCTACCAAACATTTAAAGAAGAACTAATACCAGTTCTATACAAACTATTCTGAGAAATAAGGGAGGAGAGAATACTGCCAAACTCATTGTATGAGGTCAGTATTACCCTGATACCAAAATCAGACAAAGACACATAAAAAAAAGAAAACTAATCTCTGATGAATATTGATGCAAAAATTCTCAACAAAATGCCAACAAATGGAATTCAACATTAGAAAGATCATTCATGATGACCAAGTGGGATATATCCCTGGGATGCAAGGATTGTTTAACATATGCAAATCAATCAATGTGATATGTTATATCAATAGAATGAAGAATAAAATCCATATGATCATTTGTTGATGCTGAGAATGCATTTGATAAAATTCAACTTCCCTTCATAATTAAAACCTCAAAAGAAAACTGGAGATAGAAAAAAACATACCTCAACAAAATAAAAGCCATATATGACAGATCCACAGCTAGTATCACACTGAATGGGGAAAAAGCTAAAAGCCTTTCCTCTAGGATCTTGAACATGACAAGGATGCCCACTGTTACCACTACTTTTCAAGACAGTACTATAGGTCCTAGCTGGAGCAATCAGACAAGAGGAAGATATAAAGCCACATAAAGTTAAATACCTTGGAATTAACTTAACCAAAGAAGGGAAAGATCACTATAATGAAAACTATAAATGAAATTAAAAAGGATATTGAAAATGAAAAAAAAATCCACATTAATGGATTGAAAGAGTCAATATTGTTAAAATGTCCTTATGAACCAAAACAATCTACAGATTCATTTAATTTAAATCCCTATCAAAATACCAATGACATGCTTGACAAAAATAGAAGAAAAATCCTAAAATTTATATGGAACCACAAAAGACCTAGAATAGCCAAAGCTGTCCTAAGGAAAAAGAACAAAACTGGAGGAGTCACATTACCTGACATCAAACTACACTACAGAACTATAATAACCCAAACAGCATGCTACTGGCATAAAAACAGACACATTGGCCAATGGAACAGAATAGAGAAATCAGAAACAAATCCAAATACCTACAGTGAACTCATTTTTTGACAAAGATGTCAAGAACATACACTGGGGAAAAGACAGTCTTTTCAATAAATGGTGCTGGGAAAACTGGTTATCCATATGCAGAATAATGAAACTAGACCCGTATCCTTGCCATATAAAAAAATCAAATCAAAATGGATTAAAGGCTTAAATCTATGACCTCAATCTATAAAACTACTATAAGAAAACACTGGGGAAAATCCCCAGGACATTGATCTGGGCAAATATTTTTTGAGCAATACCCCACAAGCACAGACAACCAAAGCAAAAATGGGCAAATGGTATCACATTAAGTTAAAAAGTTTCTGCAAAGGAAATAACCAACCAACTGAAGAGACAACACACAGAATTGGAGAAAACATTTGAAAACTACCCACCTGACAAGAAATTGATAACCAGAAGATATAAGAACCTCAGACAACTCCATAGAAGAAAAATCTAAAAATCTGATCAAAAATGGGCAAAAAATATTGCTAGACATTTCTCATAAAAAGACATACAAATGGAAAACAGGTATATGAAAAAGAGCTCAACATCATTGATCAGAGGAATACAAATCAAAATTATAATGAGATATTATCTCACCCCAGCTAAAATGGCTTATATCCAAAAGGCAGGCAATAATAAACGCTGACGAGGATGTGGAGAAAATGAAACCCTTGTATGCTGTTGGTGGAAGTGTAAGTTAGTACAACCGCCATGTATAACAGTTTGAAGGTTCCTCACCAAACCAAAATTAAGCTACCATGCGATCCAACAATCCTACTGCTGTATACATACCCAAAAGAAATGGAATCAGTATATTGAAGAGATATCTGCACTCCTATGTTTGTTGCAACACTATTTACAATAGCTAATTTTTTTTTTTTTTTTTTTTTGACACAGAGTCTCACACTGTCACCCAGGCTGGAGTACAGTGGCACGATCTTGGCTCACTGTAACCTCTGCCTCCTGGCTTCAGGCAAATCTCTTGCCTCAGCCTTCTGAGTAGCTGGGATTACAGGCGCCCACCACCACACACAGCTAATTTTTTGTATTTTTAGTAGACACAGGGTTTCACCATGTTGGCCAGGCTGGTCTTGAACTCCTGACCACGTGATTCACCTGCCTCGGCCTCCCAAAGTGCTGGAATTACTGGTGTGAGCCACCATGCCCAGCCACCTAAGATTTTGAATCAACCTAAGTGTCCATCAACAGATGAATGAATAAATAAAATATCGTACACATACACAACGGAGTACTATTCATTCATAAAAAGGAATGAGATTCAGTAATTTTCAGCAACATGGATGGAACTGGAGATCATTAGATTAAGTGAAAGCAGCCAGGCACAGAAAGACAAACCAAACATCTAATGTTCTCACTTATTTGTGGGATTTAAAGATCAAAACAATTGAACTCTTGGTCATAGGGCAGAAGAGTGGTTACCAGAGGCTGGGAAGGGTAGTAGGGAGCTGAGGTGGGAGGAATGTGGAGATGGTTAATGGGTATAAAAAATACCATTAGAAGTAATGAATAACCTACTATTTGAAAGCACATTAGAGTGACTATAGTCAATAGTAACTGTACATTTTAAAATAACTTAAAGAATGTAATTGGATTGCATGTAACTCAAAGGATAAATGTGCTTATTTTACATTACATGCCTGTATCAAAACATTTCATGTTCCCCATAAATATATACACTTAATATGTACCCACAAAAATTAAAATAATAATAATCATAAGGAATAAAAAAAGTCCACTTAAGGGAAAATTATAGAAATAATACTCGAGGTACATGTGCTTCTTAAAAAATAAAAAAATAGTACAATGTTGGAAATAAAAATATGATTTTAAGAAGGTATAAAGAAAGACTTACTGCAATTGTTGGCTCTAAAAGCTGAACTGCACTATGTTTTATGCTTACAACAGGAAGGCCACTGATGACTTCCTAGGGTGTGGAAGACCCACGGAAGAGATGGCTTTACTGAGAATGTTCTTTATGTCTGCATAATGGAAATGAAGTTTTTGACTACTTCCTTTTCTTGCTTTTTGCTGTTGTTTCAAAACGCTTTATCTTGGGAATTTTAAAACTAGAAAGAAAAATCAGCCCCACTCATTTCACAGAAGAAATTGTGTCTCAGACAGGTTAAGCAATATATGTTAAGAACTACCATCTAGTCTGGCAGTGTCCTGATAGTACTTGTATGCCTTTACCCAAGGTCTGCAGATTTTACTAGTATTTTTTAGAAGAAATTACCTATGTAATATGAAACAATAATTTATTACTATTTATCAGGGAAATATGTGTTTGTGAATGGGTGTGTGTGTGTGTGTGTGTGTGAATGGATGTGTGTGTGTGCATGCAGTGGACTTGGTACACATCGATGCTTACTGATATATACTGGAAACAGAACTCCTCCCCTTCAGTCATTAATAAAATGTGCACACAAATGAATACCTGTAATGCATATATATAAGTTGTATAGAAAAATAATTTTAAAGTACTACTTTCTCAAACTTTATTGTTTGGAAAACAAATAGGCCTTTTGAGGATGTTCCTTAAAACCGTTTTAGTTCTCACTCAAATTATTCAGAATTCAATAACTTTACAATTTCGTGTGTACCATAGGTTGTCACAGTTCACTTCCTGTGATAGGAGCATATGAATCAAGGGAAATACGAAAAAAAAGTGCATGAAAGAAGGAAAATTCTGATGAAGTATGCATTATGAAATAACATGTAGATAATTCACATGATTAAGTCAAATAAGAGAAAAATAATTATTGGTTATTTGACATTAGGTCAAATGTTTAAATTTGAAAGTAGCACAGTGATTAATTTCCATAATAAGATAATTTAAAATTCCATGTTCTTTCATATGCACCTAGTGGAACTCCACATAAAGTCCTCAGATTAAAATGCAAGCTCATTTAGTTTCTTCTATACGTACCCTTTGACCTACCTTCTAAGAAAAATCTTCTGTAAGTTTTAATAGACTGATACTCTAACTTTAAAAAAAAATCTTTTAATGTGGCAGCTAATGTTTTCATAATAGCAATTTTATATATCTTTATCTATATCTATATATCTGCAGGCTTCCTTAATCTTTATAATGGGTAACAACAGCTTCCTTTATCTTTACTGAGAAGGACTAAATCTGTTCTGTGGGATTAGCCAAGAAGAATATGTCATAAAAATCTTTTGTCCCTTTACCGTTGTACAGGGTCTGTTATGCTTTCTTGCAATCTCCCTGTTGGCAAAATTAAAGAGCAAAGGCAGACTTCCTGAGACCTGAACAAAGAAGTCTCATGTAGCAACAAATACAGTACACTGAACACACCACAGAGTTTAGTTGTTAAACCCAACCCTATAAGAACTGTTTAAACCTATGGTGAACTTTATTCTTGTGGAAATGCATTAAGAGAAATTTCACTAGTTCTCCTCAAATTCCTCTAGAGAAAATGTTAAATTTATCCTCTGCATTAAATCACTTAAATAATTGATTATTAGACTTCCTTTTTATAACTTGATTTTTTTCATATTAATGTAAGGCTGGAGAGAATGAACACAAAGGCCCTTTCAATTATTCATATGTTATTAGTTTAATAATATTACTAGAATTTCAGGGTACTCTTTATGGCTGTCTGGTTAGAGAGGTAGCTGAATATATGGATGGCTAGATCATTGGTTGTTTTAAAGCTATGCATTGACTATATCATACCATGTCAGTTTTGGCTATGTAAAGATGTCTTTTTTCAAAACTCTGTCTCTTAGACATGGTTGACCTGTTGACCTGATATCCTTGGTAAAAAGAGCTCTCTATTACTGCTATGCTGCAAGAGAGAGGAGTTTTCTGTATTTGCTTCTTGAGACTCCATTTAAGTGGGAATGGCATGGAAGGCTCAGCTGTGTTGTTTACTAGCTGAGTAGATAGTTGTATTATTGGCCCCAATTATTCATTCCTCCCTGTGCAAATTTCCTTTTTCGTGTATGTTGGCATGTATGTGCATCATGGCTGGGACATATTTCACCCTTGGATTTTTGTTTGGCCATATAGAGTAGACAGAAAAGACCATAAGCAAGTATTGAGTCAAGACCTCAAATACCATTTAGATTTTTATTTGCACCCTCATGCCTCCGTCATTGTCAAAAAACAAAGAAATAATCAAACCAAGAAGCAAGCCTAGGCTAATGTGCTAGTCTTAGAAAGAAGACAGACTTTTTAGGTAGAGTCAGTGTCCCAACCATGCCTAGCCTAGATTAGCTGACAGCCCCCACCACTTGCCAATCTCTTGTCACAGGGGAAAATCCTCCCAAGATTAGCAGAACTGCCCTGCCCAAGTAAACCAACATTCAGCCAAAGTGTACATATATAAAAATAAAGTATTATTGTTTTTAGCTATGTTTTGAGGCAGTTTGTTAAGTAGCATTTTTGTGGCATAGCAAATTCATGATCTAATAACATGAACAATATATTCTATCCAATCATTTATAAATCTATCTTTTCATTGATCTATCAATCTAGTGCTTACATATTGAATATAATATGTACATAAATATATTTATCTGTGGTATAAATTGGCAGTATTAAAAACATTTGGATGTTTTGAATAAACAGATGAAAAAATAAACCTAAAGATTTCCAAAAACAACTGGAATTAAGGGTAACCTCAGTGGGAATAAGTAAAGAAGAAAATTTGGACAGAGATTTCAGTAGTGAGAATATTTGCTGATGAATTTTCTTTCTTTCTTTCTTTCTTTCTTTCTTTCTTTCTTTCTTTCTTTCTTTTCTTTCTTTCTTCTTTCTTTCTCTCCTTCCTTCCTTCCATCTTCCTTCCTTTTCTTTTCTCTTTTCTTTTCTTTTCTTTCTCTCTCTCTCTCTCTCTCTCCTTCCTTCCTTCCTTCCTTCCTTCCTTCCTTCCTTCCTTCCTTCCTTCCTTTCTTCCTTCCTTTTCTTTTTCAGGGTCTCACTCTGTTGCCCATTCTGGAATGCAGTGGCACGACCTCAGCTTACGGCAATCTCTGCCTCCTGGGCTTAAGTGATTCTCCTGACTCAGCCTCCCAATCTCTGGCTGGGCTTAAGTGATTCTCCTGCCTCAGCTTCCCAAGTAGGTGGGACTACAGGTACCCGCCACTATGCTTGGCTATTTTTTGTCTTTTTAGTAGAGATGGGTTTTGCCATGTTGTCCAGGCCAGTCTGGAACTCCTGATCTCAAGTGATCCTCCCACCTCAGCCTCCCAAAGTGCTGGGATTACAGGCATGAGCCACTGCACCCAGCCTGCTGGTTATTTTGGGGACATATCCTACAAAAACAAAAAGAACTAGAAGAAAATACATTTCCTAAAGATGAAACACCCCAGGAAACAAAAATGCACCTTTGTTAGCAATGTAGGGTTGCAGTACTCTAGTAAGAGAGAATGGCAGCAGAAGCAATGGACCCAATTTGCTTTAAAAAAAGAAACAGCAACAGAGTTCCAACAAAAATTATGACACCAAGACACATTTGCAAGTGGCAGTCTATCCCGTACACATGAGAGGAAAAAATTATGAAAACTCGTCTCTGTATGTCAAATCATATTATAATATCTATTGCTGTGGTCTGAATGTTTGTTCTCCCCAAAATTCAATTGTTAAAATCTCAATCTCCAAGGTGATTGGTTGGAAGGTAGAACATTTTGGGAGGTGATTAGGTCATGAGGACAGAGTCTTTATGAACGGGACTAGAGCCAAAGGGAGCTCATTCATCTCTTCCACCATGTGAGGACTCAGCAAGAAGTTACTATCTGTGAACCAGAAAGCAGGCCATCAGCAAACAACACATCTGACAGCACCAAGATCTTAGACTTTTCAGCCTCCTGCACAGTAAGAAACACGTTTTTGTTGTTTATAAGCTACCTAGTTGATGGTATTTTGCTGTAGCAGCCCATGCAGATTAAGACACCTCTATTATACCAGTTAAACCTATAAATTCCCTACGGTTCAACCTAATGCATGACCTTCTCTCCAAGTTCCACTTAGGAAAACTCATCTCAGTATCATAGTTAATAAATATAAATGTAGACAAAATAAAAAGATAGCAGGAAAAGAAAAACAACAAATAGAGCAGAAAATAATTTACCAGTAGATTGAGTATTACATCTGCATTGGATATTTGCTATTTGCCCTTCCTGACACATGCTTCATTCTTCCCTAATCTGTTCAGCACCCATGGAGGCTGGTCTTTGTGAATTGACTCAGCAGTTCTTTTCTGCTTCTGTAGATTGAGTTTGGCCACAGGGCTTGGTGGGAGCACTGGCTGGAAATCTTTGCAGGGGAAAATTAAGGTGAGGACATTTATTCCTTAGCTCCCTTCCAGCTAGGACACTCGTGTGCTGTGTCTCCCTAGTAAAGGTTACAGCTCCTGTTATGTAGCCATCTCTTAGAGCTACCAGTGTTTTCTCTGGGTTTCAGAAGAGTTCCATCCCTTTAGGCCTAGGTAGTATGTTTCTTCTACTGTTGTGAGCCTCAGGTGCTTCACCATCTTAATTCACTTGGTATAATAATCCTTTCATTAAACTCTCCTCAGTTACCTCATTTGAGTAGATCATCTGTTTCTTATTGGGAGTTTAATTACTACAACCACAAAGCAGAAAAGCAACCACTTAGCAGAAGGTAATGACATAAAGACTGATCGAAATCCTGAAAGCTGTGTTGAAAAGGAGAGATAAGGTGGAAAAATCGTAAGAAATAATTGACACTGCAGAAAATTCAGTAAGGGACAGGTAGATATAAATGATAAATTTAGTAAAAATTAATTGAAAATAAAATAGTGTTAAGCTCTTGAAGAGAAAAATGATAGGTTTAGAAGTTTGGTCAAATATAACTCTGTTTACTTTTGTCTAGATTCCCCACACCCCCACAACCCACACAGAAGAATATGAGACAGAACAAATATTTAAAATGATAATTCAAAGAAAGTTTTCAGAAATGAAGCAGAGCTTAAACTTACATATTAAAAAAATACAGTGAAATAAGAGAATTGGCTCAGATTGTCAATGTCAAGATCCATCTTAACTTCAAAAATAAGAAAACGATTATTTTGGAAATAAAACCCAATCTCAAGTTTATTATGAAGAAAAATCGAATTTTGCTAGCCTCTGAATTCTTTGCAGTTTACATACCAGAAGGCAGTGATATAGTTTGGCTCTGTGTCCCTACCCAAATCTCATCTCGAACTGTAATCACCACATGTTGAGGGAGAGACCTGGTGGGAGGTGATTTGATCATGGGGGCGGTTTCCCCCATGCTGTTCTTGTGACAGTGAAGGAGTTCTCATGAGATGTGGTGGTTTAAAAGTGTTTGACAGTCCCCTCCTCACTCTCTTTCTCTCTCTTTCCTGCTGCCATGTAAGATGTGCCTTGCTTCTCTTTTGCCATCTGTCATAATTTTAAGTTTCCTGAGGCCTTCCCACCCATGCAGAGCTGTGAGTCAATTATACTTCTTTCTTTTTTAAATTATCAAGCCCCAGGTAGTTCTTTTTAGCAGTGTGAAAACAAACTAATACAAACAGGAACAAAGTCACAAGGCACTAAAGGGATCAAAGTGGGATTATGAATTTCATATACAAGAAAAATATTCTTCAGCTATAAAGTCTGAACATACATGAAGCTTACAAATATGTTTTTTCTGGGGGTACTTCTTAAGAAAACTATGAAAAGAGGAACTTTATGTGAAATCTCAGGAGATTATGTGAAAGATGAAGTTGTGAGCATTAAATATGTGAAATTGTGGAATACATTCTAAATTATATTACAGGAATAGAGTGACAGCAAAAAGTGTAAAAATGGTATGCTTCAGAATACAGAAATATTTAAACTAAATCAAAAATGTGGAAGAAAAGTAATGGGAATAAATAAAAAATATTACATCATCCAAAGCAGCTAGAAATTAAATGATGTAACTGAAAGTATCATTGGCAGTGCAAAGCTAAATAATAATGAAAATAATACTAACGACTAAAACCAGATTTAGATGAGAGGGAGGGGAGAAAGCATTAGAGAAAACAAAATAAAAGTATGATTTTTCTTGATGTATAGTTAATAAAAGATTAAGGGCTTTAAATTAAGACACAGTCATAAAGATAAAACACCACAACCACATATCACTATTTGATATTTTTCATGTAAGAAAATGTACATATTAAAAAGAAAACTAAACACAAAAAATCAACAAAATTTTAAAAATTAATGTGACATAAAAATCGTATGACCTAACATTGAAAAAGCTAATAAACACGAACAGGCTAAAATCACCTGCAAAAAATTATTTACTATTATTTTACAAAGAAAAATTCCATACAAAACATACCTAATAAAATTAGTTTGAGGCCAGGCACCGTGGCTCACTCCTGTAATCCCAGCATTTTGGGAGACCAAGGTGGGCAGATCACTTGAGGTCAGGAGTTCAAGACTGGCCTGACCAACATGGCGAAACCCCGTATCTACTAAAAATACAAAATTTAGCCGGGGGTGGTGAGGAATGTCTATAGTTAATCCCAGTTACTTGGGAGGCTGAAGCAGGAGAATCGCTTGAACCCAGAAGGTGGAGGATGCAGTGAGCTGAAATTGTGCCACTGTACTCCAGCATGGGTGACAGAGCAAGACTTCAACTCAAAAAAAAAAAGATTGAAATTAGAAGGATAAGCAAAACACCCAAGCAAATGAATAAATGGAGTTCTGGGGATATATCATAGAAAGTAAAAAATACATAAAATCAAGTAACTGGTATTATATCATAATAAGTAAAGTCTTTAGAATATTAAAGGAAAAACAAAATCACATATATAACAGTTGATTTTAATTCTTTCTCTTAGGAGGTCAAATGGAAAACTATAATAACATAGAATTAAATCACTTAAAAATGTAATACATACTGATTTATATATGCATATAAATTAATATATGTAATTTGATTTGCATGTGTATATATGTGTATATATATAATGTATACACATACAATATATTGTATACGTAAAACTTGTACCCTAAAATTGAGGTTATAATTTTTTTCAGAGTGCATTAGTAAAAATTGATTACATATTAGACCACAGATAATACTTCAATGTCTATCAAGAAAAAATATACAGAAATTATACTGTGACAACCAGTCAATAAAACTGAAAATAGTAATACAATAAAAAATAACATCATATTAACTACAAACTTTAGTACTATTTTTTCAAAATAAGTTCATGGAGTAAATATAAACCAGCATCACAAAATATCAAGGAAATAATGCAAACGAAAATAAAAGCACTATGTTTAAGAATTTGAGATTTTTCTAAAGCAAATTTCAGAGGAAAATACGTAGCCTGCAATATCTAGAGCAATGGAGCAAACAGAACAATGTAAAGACAAATTGATTGTCTAACCCAAATATTTATAAATTTAAAAATAAGTAACAAAATAAAATGAAAATTGATTAAAGATAACTAAAACAGAATTTAAACAGTATGACAACAGAAAAACTAAAGCAAATAATGTAATAAAATCATGAAATTGATGAAATCGCCAATAAAAATGAGAAAAAAATACCTTTAAAAATGGGTAAATAGAAAATAATGACAAAGAGAAAGAATATTTAATGCATAATTTTATATCAAATCACATTGCTCAATTCTGTGTAACTTCATTTGAAAACCTGGTTGAAATTAATGTTTATCTAAGATAATATAGTTTATAAAATTGACTACAGTATAGATAGAAAACCTTAATGAAATAATTTCTACAGAAGAATTAGTAAAACTTTTCAAAGACTTATTCCTCAAAAAAGTACCAGTCCCTGATAATTTGGCCAAATTGTTAGAGCAGAGAATGGTAATGTTAATGCTAATTGATACATTTCAGGGCATGGGAAAAGGAAAAGTCTTTTACACATATTTATGAATCAATGCAAAGTGATTGTATTGCCCCCAGGATAACAAAAAACAGCATAATTCACAAGTTTTTGTAGACTTTTGTTTATTAAATAATTTTACTAATAGTGTAATATAAAAATCTTTAAATATCATTTAGTAGAGGACAGATTAAATGATGAAATATTTCTCAATGGAATACTATGTAGCTACTAAAGAAATTAGGACATTGTATATATATTGATATTAAAACTCTCAAAGTTATTCATTCATTAAAATATTTACTCAGAGTTATTCATTTAGCATCTAACATGTAACAGACATTGACGTACATTGCAGGAAATATTGAAGTTAATAAAGCAAAGTTTTCTACTCTTTTGAAATTTGCTTTCTAGAAAAAGGAGATAAAAGTTAAACAATACATTTATAGTAAGTTAGACATAAATGCTCAGAAGAAAAAGTAAAGACAAGAGGAGCATGGATTATCAGGGTGGGTCGTTAACATTTTAACAAGGTGGCCAAGACAAACCCCAATGAGAAGAAAACTCTGGACAAAGACTTGAAGGAAATAAAGAAACAATCATGTTGGGTGTTTTGGGGGGGGAATATTCTAGGCACAGAAAATCATGCGAAAACATTGAGTCAGTGAAGTGTCTTGTATGTTAAAGGAACAGAAAGAAAATCCATGGGACTGGAACATGAGAACAAGAGCAAGATCATTAAAGATGAGGTGAAAGAATTAATTATGGGGTGCAGATGATGCAGGCTCTTACAGATGAAGAGTAAAGACGTTGGCTGCTGTATTCAGAGTAGACTTCAGAGAGCTAGACAGATGGGAGACCAGCTAAGAAATGAATGCAGTAATTCAGGGGAGAGGTGATGGTAGCTTTTACCAGTATGTACTGGTAAGTAGAAATGGCAAGCAGAAGTTGACTTCTGGATATATTTTGTAGTAGTGCCAGTGGGATTTGCTGTTGGAACTAATGTGAAAGAGAAAGGGAAAAAAGGAAAAGGTGACACCACTTGTCTGAGCAAGTAGAATGAAGTTAGCAGTGACTGAGATGAAGACAACTAGAGATAAAACTGGTTTGGGAGAAAGTCAGGAGTCAATTTTAGAAAAGTTCCTTTTAAGGTGTCAATTATATATTCAAGCACGAATGTCAATTAGGCAGGTAGCTCTATGGGTTTAGAATTAAAGGAAGACGTCTGTCCTATAAATCTATAAATCACAGTGCAATGCTACCTGTTGTATGAAAATAGGATAGGTAATATACAAACAGATCTACTTGTATTTATATAAAAAAAACTTTGGAAATCTATGTAAGAATGCATTAATGGCCAGCTATTTGTTTGAGGGGATGGAACTGGGCAAATGGGAGGGCACGGTTTGTTGGGAGATATTGTTTTGCATACCTTTTTGCAAGAAATATTTTATAGCATACATTTTTACACTTTACAAAATGATCAGACAAGTGATTGATGATTCTATTAATTAAAAATAATGGATAATACAATTTAAATTGAATAAAAACTTGAAGTACAAAGTATTGCAACCAGAAATAGATAAAAATAAAATGTTTATTGAATGAACACTTGTAACTTTGTTTTGATAATTTTACTTAACATTGCTTTAAATACAGTACAGTATATCAAGCATAATTTATTAAATTTTCATATTGTTTAAAACTATCTGAAAATATCCCTGAATGATTTTTTTGTTTGCTTGTTTTTTTGAGACCGAGTCTCACTCTGTTGCCAGGCTGGAGTGCAGTGGCACGATCTCGGCTCACTGCAATCTCCGCCTCCGGGGTTCAAGCAATTCTCCTGCCTCAGCCTCCTGAGTAGCTGGAATTGCAGGCATACGCCACCACACCCAGCTAATTTTTGTATTTTCAGTAGAGACAGGGTTTCACCATGTTGGCCAGGATGGTCTCAATCTCCTGACCTCAGGTGATCTGTCCTCCCAAAATGCTGAGATTACAGGCGCGATCCTGAATGATTTTTAATGCTTTGAATTGGGTCACCCTAAGGAGATGTTTAATAACAGATAAGAGTAATTGTTCATAGTCTTATAGTTGTTAAATAATGAAAACTCAAATCAAACTTTCTTTAAAGAAATACAGATAATTTTTCAACTCAGCTACATAGTTCCAGGCACAACTGAATTTTGCTGCTAAAAAATTCATTAGAAATATTTTTCCCTTCCTCCTGGCTCTTTTTCCTGGATTCAGGTAGCTTTTTTTTCCATATATATATATATATATATATATATATATATGTAGAGATGGCTTCTTGTATCTCCAGGATTCCATGTTCTTACTCTATGTGAATTCAGAAAGGAAATATCCTTTTCTATATAGTTCTGGCTAAATTGTCAGAAAGGAGACATTATACCTAACCCTGAGCCAGTGTTTGTGTTCAGAAATATGGTATACTCTACTTCAAAAACTAGAATTCTGTGCCATAACTGAAAGTAAGGGAGGAACTGTTCCCTAAGGAAAAAAAATGCAAGAGAGAAACCAAACAAACTGATAATTACTGTAGTTATCATCTTATAGTTCAATGCCTATGAATACCCATTCTAATAAAGTGGTACACATTATTCCATTATAGTAGAGTAAATATTCAAGTTTTCTAAACTTAATTATCTTCCTTCTGCACTTACTCCCTTACAGTTTTTCTCAGACTTTCAGGTCCAAATTAAAGGAAATTATGATTTTTTTTTTCCAAGGCGGTATATGCTAATCCATTGCGTGCCAAGCTAATAGATTTATATTTCATCTGTCAACCTGTTGTATACAAATAGATGTTCATGAACAAGAGAGATATAATCACTATGAAGCTTGAAAGTGATTATTCTGGTAAATCTGAATAGTATGGATGAAGTGTAGAGAACACAAGTATGGCTTTGTACTAAGAATGTGAGGTGGTAAATCCAGGCTTAAGATATAGTCACAGAAGTGGAGATGAATAACTTTTCTTTTCTCCCTGGAAGAAAGTTTTAACTACACATGAATTCAAATGTTACCAATTTAAATGTGTTCACATAACCTTCGTAAGTGAAATGAAGCTCCTTTCATTTCAAAGAGCCAAAAGCAATATGCTCATATTTGCAACAATCACTATAACAAAACATTTTTCCAATGGAGCCATACTTTAAAGAATGACTCTTGTATTCCTTCCATAATGGATACTGCCCCTTTAAGTAGCAGAAACAGCTTTAGAGGATAATAGTCATTATTATGATTGTCAATCTATCCTAGAGCTGCTATTCTGCATTTTGTTGTGTATAGTCATAAATAGCACTTTCAGCATGAAAATTCTATTTGTCTCAAGCCAGATTGGCAAAACCCTGATGGATGGGAAAAGGATAATATCTGAGAGAAAGAGAGATAGATAGATAGATAGAGAGAGAGAGAGAGAGCATGCTTGATGCTACCTACCAAAAGTAGAAAATAGTAGGAAAGAGACCCCTTAAATCAATCTAATGGTATCTATCTTAAGTTAATCTCTTAAAAACTGATTAACTGCAATTAAATGACAACTTCCTTTGATCAGTTCATTAGAAACAACGTCAAATTAGTATGTAGAGAATTCACTCTACCACAACACTGATATCACATCTTTGAAATAATTTATTTTTATTGTTTGTCAGTAATTCCTTTGATAACATGCAGCTGATATGTAGGTTTAGGCACTGATGGGGTTAGGACACTACCTCAAAATATGGCTACTTAGCATTTGTGAAAACAGCAGAAGCAGGAAGGTCATTTTGTGATCATTTCTTATTCTCTCCTAAAATAGGCCATAAAACCTAGAGAAGAATCTTTTGACCTTTCCTAAAACAGGCAGGTCATGTGACAGGTACTCACCCTGTACCTGGAGGAAAGGAACATACTTTTCTCTGAAAACACAGGGACACAGAGAAGAAAAGACAACAAACAGGACTTTTTTTTTTTTTTTTTTTTTTTTTTTAAGATAGAGTTTTGCTCTTGTTGCCCAGGCTGGAGTGCAATGGCATGATCTTGGGTCACCACAACCTCTGCCTCCTGGGTTCAAGCGATTCTCCTACCTTAGCCTCCCGAGTAGCTGGGACTGCAGGCATGTGCCACCAGGCCCAGCTAATTTTTGTATTTTTAGTAGAGACGGGGTTTCACCATGTTGGCTAGGATGGTCTCCATCTCTTGACCTCGTGATCCACCTGCCTTGGCCTCCCAAAGTGCTCCGATTACAGGCATAAGCTACCGCACCCAGCCCAAACAGGACTTTTTAAGCTCCTCCAAGTTTATTATTAATAGACTCTACCCTCTGTCCTCCAATCATACTTCTTAACAATTATCCACTTCTTCATCAGACTTAGTACAAAAATACACAAGTTTACCTCTGTCTTTGAGTCTTCATTTCTGAAGGCTCCTGTTTGGTGTGTGCTTTCCTCTAGTTAATCTGTCTGTTGTCATAGAAGCCTCAGCCATAAATCTAAGATGAAAAGAAGAAATATTTATTTTCCCCTGCAGCACCATTTTAACTGATCTGAAACCATCAACTCATTAGACTGTTGAGTAAACAACAAGTAAAAATACTCAAAGCCTTTAAATTTTTGTTTTGAGCAATTTGTACTTGTTTTGACTACACACATGCACCTCATTTACTTGTTAATTTATCTGTTAAATGGATTTTACAAAATTTATGAAGTAGTATTTGAGAATGCCTCATGAACAAAAATCCCATAAAATATAATCTTAAATGTTTTAAAAATACTAAATTGCCATAATGTAAAATTTAGCCGATTTTCCTTAAGAATGAGCTACAGATTCATCTCAGAATAATCTCTGTCTAATCATTGGTTTGTCACCCAATAGTGAGGACAAGTTCTCAGGGCTTTTGGTTTAATTCTCATACATTATCTAGGATGAGATTTTAATAACTCAGTATCACTATAGTACTTCTATGCAAGATGTTTTTTCAATAAATGAAGAGTAAAATTTGAACACCTTTTCTAATGAGGTAATATTTGTGCCACTGGAAAATAGAGCAAAATACATATACTCCTCAAAAAAATAATAAAAGTGTCCAAAAATATTGATCATAGGTTGATCTAGTAGGCATATTTAGTGAATCAAAGAAGATGCTCATGGTTGAAAACATTAGGGCCATGAAATATTACATAATAAACAATTACAATGAAGGAGATTATAGAGGAGATGGAAGAAGTTATTTCATCAGAGGGGAACAAAAGAATGTGCTTTGAAGTGGAAACAATCTGGTGGGAACTTCTGTGCCATATTATTATCCACATTATTTGGGTCATGTTTAGTAATCTGAGCCTCTGTCTCTATGCCTGGAAAATGGAATAAAAGGGTATCAGAGACCCTTTCAACAGTTTAAAAATCCTAACTGTAAGCAAAGTGCTAAGCTCAGTCCAGAACATTATAGTAGTTTTCTAAGGGCTTATTCTCATCCCCTACAAAAGACAGATAATGGAACAAAATGTTCAAAGAGTCATATGTAAGTAGGTAAAATACAGGTTACAGTAAGTCAAAGGGCTTTCAAGTTTGGGTATATATGCTTTTTAAGAAACTTTAATGGAAGAATTATATGGCTTGAGTTCTAATGCCAAATATGGTACCAGTCTGGTTAGACTAGGAAACAATTTAAACTCTTCAATTTTTATAACTGCAAAAATTAAAGAATGTTTGGTAAAGAAATTCTAAGATCCCATCCATTTGTAATTGATGACTAGATGATTTTATATATATGTAAATGAAGACTATATATATATATGCTTCATTAATATTGATAATTAGAAATTTCCCTATTTCCAGTAAAAATTTTAACAACTTGGAAAATAATATTAGTTTGGTCATAACTGGTAACTTAACTAACTAATATCCCTTTTTGGGGAAATTTAACTTAGATTTTACCTAATAGTTATAGAAAATAAAGAACAAATTCAATCTATCATATACTGTACAAAAGTGAGAAATTCAATCTATCATATGCTGTACAAAAGTGAGAATAAAATAAGTCATACTGATAGATATTGAGAACACTAAAAATCATGCTGTTAACAAGAACAGAAATAACAAAAAGAAAAATTAAATGATATTGGATACTCTTACTAGTTTGGATAAAGATTACTCTGATTGTGGGTTTTGACTTCATTAAGATAGTTCACGGATAATTAACTTGACAATGTTCTTTATTATTATTACTTTAGAATTATCACTACTTTTAAAGGATTATAGAAAGAAGCTTATTGTGGGAAACAAGATTTGTATTCTAGTTATAATTTGTTAGCAGTCAATGGCTTATTTTCTCTGACCTTTGTTTTCCAATGTACAAAAAGTTTTAAAGTCTTCCAGTTTTAAAAGTGATTTATTTCCTTGCACAAGTATTAAGCGTGGTTTATAAAATTAATTTTAGTGACTATTTCCAGAGTGCTTTACAGTTTTTAACTACCTTCTACTAAATCAGTCTGTTAATCATTTGTTATACCAATTAATAATGGGCTATGGGTCAATGATTTGGTAGTTATGGTGTTAAGCAAAATTTTTCCTCAGCAGTGTCAATCTTCTTACATAGGCCCATGAGTCTATGCCCATAGTATGAGTGTGTGTAGAAGGTACACTACAGAGATAAATGGCTCAACTCTCTTTGACCCTGGAGCAAAATAAATGAGAGTAATAAAGTTCACCCCTTTGAGTTTTGCCTTGTTATCAAATATTCCCCAAATGGTGCAGCCAATAAAAGTGAAATAGTCTGTCAGGGGAAAAACAACAACAAAAAAATACTTCCTATTTTTTTCCCTTCAGGCACTTTAAGACAAGACAACTTCAATTTTAGATATATGAATGAAATTACTTCTAAAAATTAGAAAATTCTATCAGCTCAGAAAACATGAGTATCTTTAGCAGAAAGTTAGACTTCCACTCCAAGAATAATAGTATTGTGCTGTTTCATGATTTTTTTTTTGTCTTCACTATAAACTGAGAAACAGTGTTTGACTTCATTTTCTCTGTTTTAGTTTCTTTTCAGTTACATCCACATACTAATAAAGACAAAGAAGAAAAAGTTAAAGGGGCTCTTTGGAGAACTCAACATTTCCCTTCACCAGGTAGAATAAGATCATAGCCGAAGAACCGTCAACATACTTTTAATGCATTAAAATTAAACTACTTAGTGTATGTATCAATACTTAATAAATGAAGGAAAGAGTGCCAGAAACCAGGGCCTATTCCAACGCTGAACTGCTACCATGGCCTTGGAGACTGAAAATCTCCCTGTGCTGTCCTTGCTTCTCTTTTAGGCTTTACTTTTGATACCATTTTTGTAACTGTTTTACTAGGATTTTCCTTCCCTTGGGCCTCTGTGCTCTCATCACACTAATGTCATGTTTATTGGTCCTGCTCCCAGTCTGCCTAATCTTCAAGAAACTTGTGTGAACTGAGGCCAATTCCCACCACATTTATAAGCACTTTGACTTTCTTTAGAAGCTTCCTGCATCTCTCCCTTACTGCTGCTCTTCTTTTTATATCACTTTTCCAAATCCGTTCTATTCTAGATCCTCATTTAAGGAGAAAACAGAATATCTTCAACTTCCCTTTCCACCTCACGTTTTCCCCTTATCTATTAATCTGCATCTGCTATAATCCATTATCAGTCAATGGTCCTCTACTCACACCAGGGCTTATTCCCTTTCTGTCTCCTTCAGCATTTTGCTTCATGGCTGATACCCCTATTTTTTCATCTTCATTGTCTATCTCCTCTTGATCCATCCCCTCAGTGTTTGTTGTTTACCCACTCCATTACTTGAATTTTACCCTTCAAACAGATCATCCATTGGCTTCTCCTTGATTTTCTTCAATTATTAACTGCTTTTTCCTACTTATATATCTCTGCTTTCCCTGTAGTTTAAAATGTTCTAAATGTAAGTCTCCTCAAACATATAATTTCATGCCAATTTTATCTTCCTTTTAAAATTTCCCCTTTATCTAAAAATCTTATCCAAAAATCATAGCTTTACTTATCATTGCTATGTGAATAATTTCCTTGTAAATTTATATATTTAACTCCTGTTTCTATTCTGAGCCCTAGTGCCAAATTTTCAAATGCTACTTCATTAACTTCAAATTCACACCTTTTTCCTCCAACCTCTATTTTTATAAATAGTGTGCCTTCACACTACTCCCACTCACTTCCCTACCCACACATACCCACTAACCCTTAATCAAAATATCAGAGCTCTGATTCCATTCCTCTTTCTTCTTGCCCCCTGTAGCCAATGAGTTACCTAGACTTGTCAATTCTATCATAATACTACTTTTGTCATCTTCTAGAGGTCCATGGAGTACCCGAGGACAGGAAATAGAAGGGAAACAGTTGTGTAAATTGATTTGCATTTCCTCCATGCTCAGTAACATGCTTCTCATACTTTTCCTAAGCTTGAATAGAAATGGATACTTATGCCCTTTTCCACTTACACCAAGGGCCAGATATTTCTTTTATAATAAAGTAAGGAACATTTTTATACTGCTCTTTGACTTAGAATTTAAATTCAGATCTTTCATTTATTTTCTGAAGGTGTTCATTAAAGAATATTCAAATAGAAAATATATCCTTTAATCCTGTTCTTTAAAATGTCCTGAGACAATTTTTGGTGGTATCTATAGGTATTTTTCCACCTTGATTATATCAAATTCTAAAGCCCCCTATTTTCTGAGTTCCTCCTGAAGTTAATATAATAGGTAGCATTACAATTAATTGCAGTAAACTTACAGATAAAAGCTAACCACGTATGAATCTGGATCTCTGTTTTTTTTTTTTTTTTTTTTTTTTTTTTTTTTGAGATGGAGTCTCGCTCTGTGGCATGATCTCGGCTCACTGCAACCTCTGACTCCCTTGTTCAAGCGATTCTCCTGCCTCAGCCTCCCAAGTAGCTGGGACTACAGGCATGCACCACCACACCCAGGTAATTTTTCTATTTTTAGTAGAGAAGGGTTTTGACTATGTTGGCCAGGATGGTCTTGATCTCCTGACCTCGTGATCCGCCCACCTTGGCCTCCCAAAGTGCTGGGATTACAGGCATGAGCCACCACTCCCAGCCAGATCCCTTATTTTGAATTCAACTTAGAATTCAAATAAAGTTTAGAGATTTCACTATCCATTTTAGATTGAACTATCTAACCATCTACTTTAGATGATCATAAATGTTACCAAAATAAAAACCTTGCTTCAAAGCACTGTAAAAAGGTAACACAGTTGCAAATTTACCAACATATTTACTTGTTTTGTTGTTCTATAAGAGCATTTTGTAGCTAAAATTCTTAGTAATGATTATACATCTCCATTTAAATTCACCTCAGAATTCTATTTTAGTATCAGAGTGCTCTGACACTGAAAGCTTCTGGAATGTATTCTTTTAAGGAATCACCATTGATCCTATCCTACTATTTACATACTGCCACAAAGTAGAAATTATATTTAATTGAGCTGAATGAGAGAATCACACAACAAAGTGCTCTGCTTTATTCAATTCCCCGATATTTCTTATGTGGGATGACTAATCAAATATAATTGTTGGTGGATGATACATATTAATTTGATACATAGTTTTAATCTAAAACACATATTTTATCTGCATGCTAATTCAGAACATTTTCAGGCATCTAACCCATAGTTTTCAACTAATGGCAAACATGTCAGATGGAGGAAAATAGTTCACACGTATTAAGAATTATGAAGTGGTATTAAATTAATAGGATGAAAATTTTTCCCAGTCAGGTATAATTATTCTGCATTTTCTTCTTATTTATGATTCTGTGAACAAAATATTTTTATACAAATTCATTTCTTTTTTATTTCCTTTCTTCATTCATTAATTCATTCATTTAAAAATGGTTCCAGTTGACATGCAGTATGCTGGGCTGTAAGCTATTTGCTGGGAATACAAAGATTTTACAGTCTATTGGTATTGTTAATATTGATAGTTTATGTATAAAGTCTTCCTGGACCTACACCAGGATAGCTGAATTCTATTATATTACATGCAATTACACCATTCTCAATTCAGCATCTGATAGTTCTGATGAATGTTCCATTTATTTCCACAAGACTTATATGTTTACTATATCTGTTGCCATCACAGTCATTGATCCTTCTTGTGTCAGTCTCTACCTAACAATTTTTTTCTTAGCCCTCTGGATGAAAACTTAAGTTGGTGTTACTAGATATCTTACCTAATCACGAGGCCTGCTAAGAGACACTACTGCCTAGATTGTAGATCAAAGGACAACCTCCCACAATTATCTGGTGCAAACTTCTATAAAATATATACCTGTTTCAAGTAGCTTTGACTGCCCAGGATAATGCTGCAACCTTTATGAGTGAATTGCTCAGTGCCAAAGCAGTAATCCTACAGCAGTGTTGCATGGACATGCTAACGTGTATTAGAAAACAATCTACCTCACTAGAATCCATGGGACTCACAATCCTTACCTGATCTGAAACTGAGAATTACGACCTAAATATTTATTGAAAAATTGTTTTCACTGAACATTTCCCCTGCTTTGGGTTGATACATGAACTCTGAGCTTTAAGTTATCAATTATTTTTGTGCTTAGGTTGTACCATCCAGACTAGATAAAATCTATCAGAGCTCGTTTGCTTTCCAATGGTGTTACTACTATCTAGAATGCAATGCATTTGTAAGGTTGATCACTTTTATTGCCCTAATGAGTGCACAATTAGTTCTTTACATTAAAGATACTCAGATTTCAAATGCCTTTTACTTACCTATATATTAATCCTATATTTATGTGATTTAAAAATTAGGTCAAAGATTTTATGTAGACACTTCAGATTTTTATTTTGTTTTTTGAATACATTAACTATTTCGTTCTGACCGAGTTGACATACTTTTCTCCTTAGTCAAAAGCAGAAAGATTTGCCTATAGCAATTTCCATGTCTCTTCTCTTACTATATTACATATAGAGAGAAATGATTAAGGTAGTTTTTTTAAGTTTCATTTCATAACTTTCCAATGAAAAGCAATACCACTCTTTTCAGGTTTTCTCCACATTTCTAAGAAATTCATATCTGTCAAATTCAACACTTGATCTTTAATTTCTTGGGGCTATTTAATACTGACATATGTGCTAACTGACTATCTTTAATTCTTCAGGGTTTGGTTTCATCTATTCCATCAAGTATTTTAAGAAGTTTGAAATTCTCCCAGGATCATTTTTCTAAAGGGACTTACAGAAAGACAACACTAGAAGGATTTTATTATATACCATCTGAAAGAAAAATTAATTTTGCCTCAGGTCTCAAATGTAAATGAGAGCTCTATTATATAATGAAGGTTTGTCTGAATAACCTAATTGAATCAAGATATAAGAAATATTCAGATATTTTATGGCAGAGATGTGCTTTTCTCTAAATGATTAAAATTTAACATCTAAAATTTCTCCAATTTACTAGTTACACAATTTTCACTTCCTTTTTGCATATCTATGGTATATTCCCTATCATATCCTTATGCAAATGATAAAATGACACCATTTTATCTCAGAATGTGACAGTTGAGTAAATAGATTTAAATGAAAAATGGCAAAGACTCACTTGGAGATGTACAATAAGATCAATCACTAATGATTAGAAATTATATTGCTTCATTGTCACTCACTTTTTTGGCACAATAATTCTGCCAAAGAACCTATTTTATTGAATGACTTACTCTTTTTACTTAATAATTAGATTCCATTGTACTATAAATATAAAACTATCCCTTGGAGTTATGGTTGGAAGAATACGTAGACAGTGAATAAGTTATCTTTTCTTCCCATCATTTTTATGCACAAATACCCAACAACTGCCCAACATGAAAATACGTGCTTTCTGACGTCTGATATCAAACTTCGCACACTAAATGCAGTCAGATTTTTTTCTGAGCAGGCTCACTATATATTATCTTGGACATATGTTTGATATTATCTGGAAAAACAAAAACAATGAGTCAATGATTTGAGCTCTACTTGACACTGAAAAGGAGTTTGGCTCCATAAACTGTTTCTGAGAAGAATATTTCACTCTGAGCATAGCAACGAAGGTTCCATTATTAATGTAAATAAACGAGAGGAAAGAGGGAAGCCTTGATGATTGCAATGGTAAAAATTTAAACAGCCCTGAGACTGTTGATTAGAGTTGACGTTAGTAAGTGGCTGGGAATGCAGACATTTGATCCAGCATACACTATTACCAGAATTCACACTGACCAATTAGTATCCTCTCCTAAAATGTATTTGCACTCTGAGGAATTACAATTTCCCAATGGCACCTTTGAAACCTCATAACTTTCTGGAAAGGGTTTTTTGAATAAACGCCACGTGGATTTTAGAGTAAACGTCAAGCAATTTCATTAGCCAAAAATACAACTTTTTTCCTTCTTCAGCTAATATATAGATTTAAATCATTTAGAGGAGTTATTCTGATTCTAGACTACACATTCATTTACATGTTGAGTTGCAGATCCCAATATAAACATGGCTAATCTTCCTGGGCATCAATTTTATTTAATGATAATAGTACATTAGTATGGATCTCCAGAACAACTTTCACATATGATTGGAAATCACATTTGTCTGCTAAAACAATGAAGAAAAATAAGTAAATTATACTTTAGATTATTTCTGATTGTTCTGATGCCAGGACTTTAGTCATAATTCATAAGAGAAAAAGTTTCAGAAATGAAGATGTAGACAATCTTTGCAAACCAGTTTATAGATTAAATCTGTACATGTGTTTTCTTCTCAGTACTAATAGTAGCATGAATACAGTGACACATGGATGTTATGCTGACATTGGTGTTATTACTGCTATGTATACATATGAACACATGTGGTCCTAGACACAAATACATTAGTGCACACATATATACACAAATTAATTATTCCTATCAATTCACTCAGGGAATTTCTCCTAAGTATTATGTTTATTGTACCAGTAGAATCCCACCTGCTTGCTACTAGACCAAATTGTTCAAATAAACTCGTATTTTCACTAGCTTCCAAAAAGAAAAAGGAAAAATTACATGTGAGTGAAAATAGAAAGATCATTAGAAATTTCTGTTTTCTACTTTCCAAAAGTGTAGTTTTTCAACAGAGTAAAAATGACATCACAAAAAAGTGATTTGAAATCTTTATTCTTTTTCATGATTTCCAGTGAACTAGCTTATTCTTCATTAGAAAAAGCATAAGCTTTGGCCTATCCAATTCAGAATAAAAGGAATTAATGGACAATTAGAACTTGATGATTCAAACCCATTATTGCGTTGATATTGGCTGATTAAATACAAATAAAGATCATGTTGTTTTATCTTTTTTTTTTTTTTTTTTTTTTTTTTTTTTGAGACGGAGTCTCCCTCTGTTGCCCAGGCTGGAGTTCAGTGGCGCGCTCTGGGCTCACTGCAAGCTCCGCCTCCCAGGTTCACACCATTCTCCTGCCTCAGCATCTAGAGTAGCTTGGACTACAGGCGCCCGCCACCACGCCCGGCTAATTTTTTGTATTTTTAGTAGAGACGGGGTTTCACCATGTTAGCCAGGATGGTCTCGATCTCCTGACATCGTGATCTGCCTGCCTCGGCCTCCCAAAGTGCTGGGATTACAGGCGTGAGCCACCGCGCCCGGCCGTTTTATCATTTTAAACTGGAAACAATTTAAAGGTCTAACAATAACAACTGTTATTTGAATATAACAAGTATTTGAATATAACAAGTATTTGAATATAACAAGTATTTGAATCCACGTTTTGTTTTGCTTTTTTTTTTTCATTTTGGGATGAGGTATACATACATAACCACGTATGTGCAGGTTCAGTGTCTATGTTAAGGCTCATAATAACAGTTTTTTAAAAGATTAATGCTATTTGAAAATTATTTGCTTTGCCCGTAGCCTCAACACTTTTCAAAAGAAATATGAGAGTACTTACCTTTTTTCAAAAAAAACAAGTTTTCAAATGCCTTCTTTTCCACCTAAACGTTGTAAAAGAAATAAATAAAATAAAATAAATAAAATAGTGGAATTTTGCTGTGCTTAAAGCAAAAAAAAATCTAAATATGAAATTGTTTCATTTTTACACCTACATGATGACTGGAATTTCACAACAGAGAAAAGTTCTTCTTGTTTCTTTATCTTGTCTATGCTTTCCAGGCTTCAAGAAGGATTTATCTAGGCATCATCAGACTTTCATCCTATTAATTGCTCTATTTTACATATCACAGAAGAAAGGTGTACTCTTAACCAGTAGCCAAAGTTAAAGGAGAATTGAAGCAATTTTGGGTCAGTGGCCAGCATCAACCCCAGCTTGGGATACTAGCATTCTGTTCCAATTACAGCTCTCTGCCAGTCTTAGACTTTCCTACATCATTTTAATATGACTTGGATGTGACAGATGTACATGCTTTTGTGCCCAGACTTTGTCTTGGAAAGAAGGACATTGTCTTCTGGAGAGCAAAGAAAGAACACTGATTGCTAATGCTAATTAAGAGTAGAAGAGCAGAATTGAAATAATGTAGCTAACTTTTAAAAATAGACATACGTATTTCCAAGTATTTGGCAATAATTTATAGTCTCTATCTCTGGAAATGATCCGCCAGGGAGAACATCATGGATAGGGGGACATGGGGCCACCTGCCTATCTATGTTATCATTGGCAGGAAGTAAAATTGTTCTCAAAGAGTCAGCATTAGCATCTATGGTTCTCAGGACCAGAAACCAGTGGGTTGGCAGAAAAGTAATTAAGCAGACATCTCACATGGACAGAGCCCATTAGTATTTTATTTAAAAAAATTCACTGGGTCAGAACTCCTTAGCAAAACAAAAATGACCTTGCTCTCATTGTGGATAAACTGTGCCTCTTTTTTAGTTTTAAATCAATATCTACCTTAAGGTAATTAGATTAATATTTAAATATTTTAATGGATCAATTAAGTTAATGAAAGAGAATTAAATATTTGAGAGAAATAGAGTAAAATTTCAAAGTATATGCAGTACTTCAAACCATAATTTTAAAATGCCAAGTATCTACCTTAACGAATACATAGTATCAGATACTCCAAAGCAATTTATATCTTGTGATACTTTGCCTACAGCTGAGAGCCAAGAAACTTGGTTTGGAAGAAAACAACTTTCTTCTCTCAGACACTCTGCAAGTCCAAGAGAGAAAGGACCAATGCATTTGGAATTTTTTGGTGTGTTCTGCTCTGTACATTTTCTGTGACCACCTGGTGGACCTGATATGAGCAGCAATTGCTGAGTACATAGGTGGTGCTATCTGTCATCATACCCTTCCTGACTCCCACAGACATCATCCAGCATAGGCTTGGAATACAGAAAAAGAAAAGAAATGGATTCTTTCACATTATCCCTTCTTATTCTGCCCAGTTGTTCTCCCCTTAGTTTGAACATTTATTTCGATCAAGATCTATTGAATTCAATTTAACAAATATTTATTCATTTTTTGCTCTCTGTCTATGGAAGGAAAGTAAGCTATTTACTAGAGTATGAGTCTATGCCAAGTGGCATTTTAAAGATAATTTTTGTTAAAAACTTCCATTCTTTTCTCACAGGAAAAAAAAGTACATTATACCAGCAATTGACAGTTATTGTTTAAAGGATATTTATTGTGGGCAAGTAATGTAGAATACATTCCTAATCTCTTGTTTCAACATAGCATAAAGACAGTGTCATAAATCTTCTTTTATTTCAAATAACCCAGGGTGTTCATTCAATAATGTACATTTGCATACGTGGCATCTGCTGATGCTTTCTCTAGCAACATCTCAAACACATAAATTGTGTTTAAGGTATAGTTTATTACATTCTTCTCCCAACCTGTTCCTACTTTGTATTCCTCATCTTTTTTTTTATTTTGGAAATTATTTTTATTTTTTAAATTCACAAATAATAATTATATATACTTATGGCATACAACATATTTTTATATATGTACATATTGTGAAATGACTAAATTAAGGTAATTAACACCCATTACCACACATTTTTTTGTGGTAGAACACTTACACTACTCTCAGCAATTTTCAAGTATATGTTATATTGCTATTAACTATAATTGATATATTGTACAATTGATTTTCTGAACTTATTCCACCTAACTAAACCTTTGTATCATTTGACCAATATCTCCCCAGTCCCTCCCTCCCCCAGCCCTTGATAACCATCATTCTACTGTCTGCTTCTGAGTTTGACTTTTTAAGATTTACATATCAGTGCGATCATGTGGTATTTGCCTTTCTGGGGCAAGGCCTGATATTTTACCAGCTTGACTTTTGTATTTGGTACTCATTAAATAGTTTATATGCACAACCCTCTGCCCACACTGGTCCTCAAAGTCAGTCTCACAGGTGTAATATTTTTTCAGGCAGCAGGGTGAGGGGGAAGGAAGTAATATTTATTGGGCATCTCCTATGGACCAGGTCTTTTAAGCAATATCAATTGACCTCACCTAATGTTTACAACAGCTCTGTGAAGTCTGCATTATACTTGGAGGAACCTGAGGTTCAGAGAGATTTAGGGACTCAACCAAGGTGAGGAACTTGGTGGTCATGGTGTAGGGGTTGACAATCCCTCCTCCCTGCTGCAGAATTTCCCAAAGCAGCCTTCTAACAGTGATACAACATCTCTCCTTCAATTCTGAAGACCCTGGAATGGGGATGGGATGTAGACAAGTTAGAAGACCAACACCTATTGAGCACCTACTTATTTAAATAAATGTTATACTGATGAATGCTATCAATATATAACATTTAAATCTGTGAGCCAGGCATTTATATCTCTGTTTCCAGATGAAGAATGAAGGTTCAAGGACATTGATCACATTGCTCGGGGTATATCTGTTCTCCGAGCCTTCTCCTCGGGTTGATCTAGGTGGATATCCGCTCCTGACCAAAAACTGACAGGAATCAAATATTTTCATTGTCAAAGCAGCTTCTGCTTTTCTACCAAGGCTCTTCCAAAACTTCTGGGAATGGATAACAATGTTTTCTGGTTCTACTTCACCCTGAGCACAAGGGAACCTGGTCCTTGAATGAACCTGCACTCAAAAAATCAAACTAAACACCAGATAGTTTAGATTGGCATAAATGCAAATCAGAGTGTTGGGCTTTGCTTGTATTTGCTGACATGCTATAGTCCCGGAGTCAAGGTGCCAGGGTCCTGGGAGGAACAAACGCATTCCCATTGATTTATTGTTGAAAAACCCTGTTATCAGCCTACCCAAAGGCCTTGCCCCACCCTGCCTTGCCTCACCCACATACGTTCAGTTTGTAATTCTATTTCCTTTTGCTGCATAATACCTGCTTCAGTTTACCTTTTTCACGGGAGCCTCTGGCTTGGAAGTCCCCCAAATGCATACTTTATCTGTGTTGTGGGTTTGTTTAATATCTCCTCAAGACTCACTTGCTGAATTCCTAACCCTCAGTTTCTCATAGTGTGACTGTATTTGGAGGTAAGGGCTTTAAAGAGGTGATTAAAATGAAGACATTAGGGTGGGTCGTGTATTCCTTATCTTAATCACCACTCATTTACTTATCCAAGCTAGAACTTGGGTTAGTTTTATCTTTTCCTTTTCTTTAATTTTTGCACATCAAATAGCGCAATGAATCTTATTAAATCAATTTTCAAAATGACTCTCAATCCCACACTTCCTTTTCATTCTTACAGACCCTTGATTAATTGACATCTTTATCATTTCTAGTCTGGACTACTATAGTCAACTCTCTCCATGTAGGTTTTCAACATTCTAACATGCAAACCAGCTAGAATTATCTTTCTAAATGCAAATTTGATAATGTCACACCCATGATTAAAATAACTCAATGTTTATTCATTATCTGTACAATAAAGTGCTATTTCAGGGCTGAAAGGACAATCTCCACCTTTATTCTTTCAATTCTCCACATCCATACTTCCATGTGTCAGTCATACTAAATTATTTGCTATACCTTATAAATTCCATCTGTTTCAGCATCCTTATATTATGTATTCAGCTATCCCTGATCCCACCTCTCCTCTTCCTTTTCCATCTGTCAAATTTGAATGCTTAAACCAGGTAACAGTAAAGTTATCATACATATGGTCTTCCCTGGGTCAGTACCGGTTTATGTCCACTGTTTCAGAGTAATCATTAATAGCATGCCCTTTCACTCTCTAGTGTGGTGGCCTGGATGGTAAATTAGATGATTCCCTTAGCCAAAAGTCACCTTCTCTCTAAAACATGCCTTTAATTATCTGGAAGCAAGTAGTTGTTCTTGAAACACTGTAAATATTTCTACATGGTGTATGTCACATGGTAGTATAACAAATAATGTGCTTAAATATCCTGACAAATTATACGTTATAATAGTAGAAATAACAGCTAATCCTTAATGTGTGTTTAATGTGTTATTTCAAATAATGTAGGACCTTATTATGAAATTTTATTTATACTTTACAGGAATCCAGAAAGGAAGGCACTCTGAGAGTCTTTGTTTTCCAGATGAAGAAACTAAGGCAAAGCACGTCTGAGTAACTCACACACCCGATATGTGGTAAGAAGTAGTGCTGCTAAGTAAATCCATGCAATGGTTTCAAAGTCCACACTATAATGAAGTACTATGTATAGTCATCTTTGTGACCCCATTGCCTTAGGCTAAGTATCTAAAAGATGCATAACAAGTGGCTTCATAAGTGAATATTATTTTTTAAATAGAGGAATGTCATTTCAAATGTACCAGTGAAATAAATTCATATAATCTTAGTTTTCTGGTTGTGTCAAAATAATACTTTCTTTTTATTTTATAAAATTCCTCTGTTACTGATATGGAAATTATCCTCTTGACCTCTTGACCCAACAGCAAGAACAATAAGTGACTACCATTGAAATTATTCAAATTATAGAAATAGCTAAATAATTATATAAAATAGTTTTTGGCAGTTACAATGGCTAGCTTTGCCACCCTTTCTAAATTTAGAGCTCTTTTGTTGGTTTTTATTTTTACTTATTTGTTTACTTGATTTAATAACAGCAGTAGATTAGGCATTGGTATGGTATTGGACAATCTTGAAATAAAAATAAATGGATAAAACAATTTTTCCACATTGTATGCCTCCTGGGAAATGAAAGGATTGCTAACACTTTGACATAATTAATGAAAAGTAAGTGACTACAATTACCTAAGTGGATATTTCACTTTTTACATGGGAGAAAACCTGCCTCAACAATTGGTGATTTCTCGAACTCTTAAGCATAAAAACAGGGCAATTCCTTATTATTCAATATAATTAGATTTGTATGTTAAGCTTTAAGAGAGAAAAAATGCTAATGCACACTTTGGAATTAAATGTAGCTCTGGGTAATAGAAGATATTTAAGGAAGTGAGCAGAATTATATGCATTAAAGAAGAATTAAAGAAGAATCTTTACAAAGCATACCAATACTCAATCCTCTTACTCTAACCAGTATTTGATTTTTTTAATCAAATGAATTGGCTGTGTATTGCCTGTGTGTATGTTTGTGTGCATCTATGTACACGCATATGCATATACATACACACACATATATATGTGCATATGTGTGCTTGTGTGTGTGCAAATATATATGAAGTTTTCTCTGGATCACACCACAGGAAAAAGAAACTGACATACCTTGAGTAATGGGCAGACAGTTCCTCAGATCAATTAAACAAAATGAGGTTTATAAGAAAAACATTAAGCAAACTTCTTCTCGGATTATTTTTCTAAAAGAAAATTTCTTTTGTAATTGATAGCTTGAAACCTAATTGAAGTTTATGTTAAATATTTGGCAGTGCTTCAAGGAAAATGATGTGGTTCACCTTGATTCTCTAATTGAGATGCATAGGGGTGCTTTTCTTCTTTTTTATCTGGAAGTGTTGTGGTGACATTGTCTACATGGGATGTTTCAGCTTGGGTTATTGCTTCTTTTCTTGCTGAGTGCTAAATTGTTTTTTAGTCTATCTGGCAATCTGTTATTTTTTTTCTCCCCCCACAGGGTTTAGTATTTGTCCTTGAAGAGTTGTCAACTGCAAAACGCAAAGAAAATTGTATATCCAATTAAAGTAAGGCAAAACACAACTGTCAAATAAAAGCCATTAACCCTCTGAGTACCATAATTTCTGGTATATCTGACAGGTTTCTTCTCAGCTCCTTCAACTCTAGTCATTTCCAATTCCCTTCCTTTCTTTTCAAGATACTGCTTATGGGACAGTTTTATAGTCTATAATGTGTAATGTCAATAAAGTTTTGTCAACAGTTATAATCCAAATGTAAGCAGCATATTTACTAGACCAATTTTCCTAGTGAATAGTTTATTTCGAAGTATAATAGTTAATCCTTATTTTACATGTAGATTTTATTTGTATTCTTTTTTTTCTCAACATGTATACTGAGTTCCCACTGCTTTCCAGGGACTGTGCTATCCACTGGATACACAGCATTGAATAAGGCAGAAAGGTTACTGCCTTTCTGACTTTACACTCTAGTGAGATATAAGCAACTAATAAACTCTGATTTAACTACAATTGCTTTAAGTGACATGACAGAACAGGACAGGGTGCTATGAGAGCAACCAATTTTTAGAGAACAGCCTTGGGCTCACTCTAAAGGGTAAAAAGAAAGGGATTAAGCTGTTGAGAGATGAGGAAATGCTTCATGTAAGCCTTGTGTGAGGCTATAAGAAGGAAACAGGAATACTAAGAATGATGATGATGGTGAGGGGGAGTGGGAGGATGAGGAGAAAGGTAGCTAACATTTGTTTAAGGCTTACTATTCTCAGTTTTGATGGCTCGCAGCTATAGGTTACAGAAAAGAATGATGCTAATTGGCTTTAAAAATAAGAAAGCATATTACCTCTCATGTAGTCCAGAAGTAGGGAACATCCCATAGGTTGGAATGATCAAAAACCCAGGCTTTACATCTCCCCCCCATTCAAATCAGTATGTGAACTTGGCTCTTGGGCTGGCTCTACTCATGGTTGCAAAGTGGCAGCCATATTTCCAGGCATTACAGCCAGACATGACAATATTCAGAGGAAGACACTTTTCTCCACTTCATCTCTCCTTTTAGGAGAGAAAAATCTTTTCCAAGATGACCTGAGCTTACTTTATTTTATGTTTTATTAGGCAGAATTGAGACACATTGTCTATTTCTAAGTGAACCATTTAAATGGAGAATGGAATTGACAAGTGATATGATAAGATTAGGAATGGAAATTTGCGAGTCAAGCCCCATGACCACTTCAAATATTCTAAACTATCTTCATGCCACTTAATGTACAGTTTGAAAACTCTAGATACATTTCTTCTTAAAGGAGTCTTATTAGTTAAAACATATTTTCAGATTTAAAATCAATTTTTATAATAATTTTATGGCAATTATTATTAACATATCTCCTATTTTAATTAGTAAACAGAATTTGAGAAAACTAGTATTTTAGGAATTTTGTTGTTGAAGTTCATTTATGCATAGCATTCTAAATATGAAGAAAAGGAGACTGATTTTATTGGAAATTGTACATTCTATCTTCCTTACCATTCACTGTGACAATGAATATTATGTCACATTGTCTTTGCCAACATGAGACATTAGTCACAGAAGAAACTGAAAAAAGGAGAAAATTAAAAATATCACAAAGAAAATCTTTGTATTGACTATACCTGACTACCTTCTTATAATATTGATAGCATAATTATAATAATAGTTACTGTTCATTGAGACATAAATGTCTGGTGGGTGTTAGACATTTAGTATCTTAACTTTCATAAAGTCAGTGTGTAGGGTGTGTTTTTACTCCCATATCAAAATGAGAATCTTGGGGTTCAGAAATTTACACACAGCTGACCAGTGGGAGAGGCTGGCAGGATTTACACTTATCTGTCCTACTCTAAAGTCATTCTCTTATTACACAAACACTATGCCCGGCATTGTCTCAGCCCTGGAAATTCCCTGAGGAATCAGAATATGGCTTTAACAATCAATCACTTTTGGAAATCCCATGATAAATTTTCACCTATAATTCATCTGTCAATAAAACTTTAAGAAGTTTAAATTTCTGCCTTTACTGGGTAGCACCCTAATTAAAGTAGATTTACTATGATTTCACTCTTTCTGGCAACTTCAATTTGAAAACCTTGATACTTTTCTTTAATTATCTTAAGCTTAGCTTTCTAAAGACTGAACAGCACATGAAAAGATATTTATTTGCCATGAATTTTTATGCTTCATGCTTGGCTTAAGTGGAAGAGTGTATTTTTCTTGCAGGAAAGTTAAAGATATTTCTAATTTTGGGTAGAGTATGTTGTTCTTCATTTTTTATTCTGATATATTTTCACAAGTTTTTTTGTATTCACTCACTAGTGTCCTTTTGTATGAGATATCTTTTATTTTACTCTTTTGAAAAGAAATAGTAATAATATCATAAGAGTGACTTCAAGTGAGCTAAACAAATCGGAAAGCTTCAGTCTAGCTTATTTTCTTTCAGTTTAAGTCATTGCTTTTCCTGTTGTCCACCTACACTCCCATAGATTTATTGAGGATGTGACTGTGCTGGCTGAGTCCCATTGCTATTTCCGCAGGTAGGTAAGGTTATTTTAAGATACAGAAATGATAGATTAAACAGATAGTCTTTAAGATAGATGAGGCATATAGAAAACAGTAGGCTATATTTCCCTTCCCTGGGGCTGGCCTACTTTTGGCACTGAGTTTATATTTCAGGGAAGCCAGGATTCTAGCTCCTCATGCCCATAATGCCTTATAGTTAGTAAGATTTAATAAATAAAAATGCAAGACTCTAATTAAATTTGATTTTCACATAAACAACGAATAATATGTTAGGAAGTATGCCTCATGCAATTCTGTGAACATTCAGAGTAGCCACCTAATGCCAATGTAATATAACCCTTACCACAAATGACCAAAGGGCCAGGACTATGACCTTTTCGTTTATACAACTTATCAGATTCCCTGGACTTGGTAAAGACACAAATGTTGATTGGTATTGGTGATTGATAGAAGATGTGGGTCCTAGTGATAAGAGAAGGCAATGAGGAGGAAAAAAAAGGATTTGCTTGACAAATGTCTGTTGAACTGAATGCATTGTCTCAGATTCTGATATCAGAGCTTGAAGATGTTAATACTTATTTGTACTCCCAAGAAACAGCAATTAACAAAAGATGCTAGAGCACCTAAAAGCTCTGGGCAATGACACCATATCAGAAATGGTTATCATTGCCATCAAATGTCTAATCAATTTCATAATGTTAGCAGAAAAGACTAATAGTATCACCAAAGAGCATTCAAAAAGTGGATTCTTTTTAATATCACCTAAAACATTTTCCACTACATACTACCTTAGTATTTTGGTGGAATAAGATAAAGGTTATCACTTAATAGCCAAAAAAATTTGCTTGATTAAGCAGCTGTCTACCTAGCAAGTACTAACTTAAAGAATTCTCTGGAATGCTTATCCAGAATTTATAGGAAATTATCTGCTATAAGTTTTAACAAAAGCAGAGCTTTTTTGGGGGTGTTCTTTGCAAATCTTAGAGAAATATATACTGACAACATTATTAAATGTTGTGACAGGTTTTTTTTATGTGTAATTCAGAATCTGGCTGAATAGTTCATGCATTTTGCTTATGTGATATGTTTTGATTTGTATCTTTTAAGATGTAGAACCAGAATCAAACTGACTCATGATGCTTCCTAGTCATCCATAGCTCCTATCACTACCCCTGTGACATTTCATAGGCAGTTAGTTCAAAAGTTTACGCACACACAAAAATCCTAAGTATATCTGAAATATTGGAGGCAGCGGCAGGTAATGCCTGACTATAACTCAAACATTCTTTTCACAACAATCTGTGATGTTTGTCTGGACTAACCATTTGCCATTTGATATCGGAACCTTGGAAAATTGTCAGAGTTTAAAATGTAAATAGATGAGCAATCATATCTGAATGTTTCTGAGAGGAAAAAAGTTCACAATTTATGAGTCCTAAGCATTTTCTATGAAGTTATACTTTCTTCAGGCAGCATTTGCCTTTAATTAAGAAAAAATAAGATAAACATTCCCAAAAGTTCAATGTATAGTTTTTTAAAAAACTACTACTAATAAGCAGTATAACTATAGTGTTATAATATTCAAAATACTGATTGAGGAAGAGTCATTTTGAATTATAAAAATGAAGTTAAAGCAGAAAATTTATGAATTCTGAGTCCAGAAACTAGACTCTATTTACTCAGCCTCAGTTTCCTCATCTACACAATGAGAGAACTGACATAAATATTGTTTAATATTTTCATAATACTGGGATCTTAAAAGCAATATTGTTGAATTTAAACAATACAGTAGTTTTAACTAGATCTGAAAGTATATTATTTTTATTAATGAGAAAAGTTGTTTAAGATGGTATTCATATGATTATTCTTGTGTGATGCCCTTTTAAATGAAGGCTCTTCTAAAGTTTTGAAAACTCTAAAAGTAATTAATCTCTACTGAGTCTGATTCTGTTATTCATTTGTTACAAAAACATTTGAAATGAATAGCACAAATATTCAGGTATGAGGAGTCTCTGTGTTTTCAACCTTGCGTCTTATGTTGTAGTCCAGTGGCTTTGGATATTTCCAGCTAAGTGTGGAAAAACACATTTTAGCTTATGCTACCAAAGAGTTAGGTGCTATGTTACTCAGTAAGGTGTCTCTGCAGAAAACAATCAGTAAATGGCAAAACAGACTATTCTAGCCCAAGAATTCTACAATAACAAAGAAATAGCATCTCTAACTTCCTTTCCTTATCACTTAACTAGGAATAACATAAATAAAATAATGTAATAAAATATGGTGGAAATAAAAGGTACATTTATAGCTAATTAATCTATCTCATAGTCTGGATTCTGTCTTATTCTTGACAAATAGTGGGATTGCACACATCAAGATTCAAAGTTAGTTTCAACATATAGCTTGCTTTGAGTCCTGAAATGTGGGCAGAAATAGCATATGCCACTTCACTGCAGAAGCATTAAGAGTCTGTACTTTGTTATGTTTTTTTTTCCTCTGCCACAGGCAAAAAAAAAAAGAAAAAAAATAGTGTTCAAGAAGACAGTGTCCCCTCGTTAGCCTAGGTTCTGGAGTAAGGACAGAGTGAAGCAGAGCTTGCAGGTTACAGACTGTCCAGGGTAGTAAGTGCAACATATAAAATGTTGTTTTAAGTAACTGAGGTTAACCTAACACAATCTACAGACTCATGTGAGCAAAAACAATTTCCAGTTTTTGCTTTTTACAAGATAAAAAACTCAGATAGGTTAAAAGTAAAAGTATAAAAAGATACAGAAAAATAATAAGAAAATGTCCTGTATTAGAAGCCCAAATTAATGGTTATGTACTTAATAGCTGGTAATATAGAATTAAGGGGAGATGCATTATTTTAGCTAAAGACAATTTTTTTTTTAAAAAATAAATATTTAATTCATTGAAGTATATAACAAATGTAACCTTGTATTTTTATTTCATAATATAGTCTCAAAATAAATATAGCAAAGTATATGTAATAACAAAAAACCTGGCAAATCCTTCATTAGAAGGGAAGATGTTAAAATAAGTTCCTTAATATATCATAGATTGAGCAAACAATTATTAAGCAAAAATTAAGACTTGAAAAACAAAACTATCAAGACTTTTTATTTTTAATTAAATAGAGATGGGATCTCACTATATTGCCAGGCTGGTCTTATACCCCTGAGTTCAAGTGATCCTCTTGCCTTGGCCTTCCAAAGTGCTAAGACTATAGACATGAGACACCATGCTTGGCTTCAAGACTTATATATTTCTTTACTTATTTTTTTGAAGTTATTTTTCTCTAAAAAAAGATGGGGTCTCACTATGTTGCCTAGGCTGGTCTCAAACTCCTAGGCTCAGGTAATCCTTCCACCTCAGCCTTTCAAAGTGCTGGAATTACAGGTATGAGCCACCACAGCTGGCCTCAGGATTTATTTAATGGACATATATAGAACAAAAAATCATAGAATAAAATACCTTCTTTTCAAACCCTTAGGACACTACACAATTTGATCACATACTCATTTATAAACAAAATCCTAATAAATGTTAAAGAACTGATACTGTATATATAAGATAATCTCTAAGCTAAAGTCAATTTGGTCAGTAAAAATTGAAAAACATAGCAAAAATGCATAAACTTATATACTTAAATGCACTTTAAGTTATTCATCAGTAAAAAAAGTCAGAATACAAATCTTAAAATAAACTCCAGAACAGAATACTAATGATACTATGCCATTTTAAACCTCACAGGAAGAAAATAAAAGAGTAACTTGATGGCAATTAATGTATATACATACTTATATTAGAATGGAAGAAATGTTGAATATTGATGACATAAATGTTCAACTGAAAGACATGGAAAAGAATAAGAGAATTCATCACAGACACGTAGAAAGAACAAAGTTGCAAATACAACAACAGAAATTCATGAAATAGAAAACAGAGACACCAGTTAGAGAATCAACAAAGTTAGTTCTTTGACATGACTCTAAAAGTAATGTTTTTCAGAATGAGAAAAATATCTACAGATGCAACATATGCTCAATATTTATTTAGAGAATGCTACAAAGAGTTTTCAGTTAATATATTTGAAATTTTAAAGGAAGTTAAAGCCCCTTCAAGTGTTTTCCTAACAGCAGTTTGCATAAGGGTGAGATAATATTACCTAAATCTTGGAAAGAAAAACTCGAAAGCAATAGGCAGCAAGCTTCTGGCATTCACACAGGTCTTGGAAAAACTTGTGTTCCCACTATCCAGAGGGAATAGACATCATAATATTAGAACATTAGGTGGAATTGATAGAAATGTAGCATTGAAGTGTTGGGATAAATTATTCTTGGACAAAACACTAGTTTGGAGAAACCCTTAAAAACTTAGCTTCATAGCAGACCAAAACCAAACAAACAACAACAACAACAACAAACCACTAAATCTCTATTTATAGAAATATAATAAGATGTAGTAATAAGTAACTTAAAATTTACTGTTTTCCATACCTGGCATCAAATAAGAAAATCACGAGGCATGCACAGAAGTAGAAAAGCATTATCCTTAACTAGGGACAAAATATCCAATAGAAAGAGACCCTGATGATCAAGCTAGAAGGCAAGGATATTAAGCTATGGTATATACTGTATATTCAAGAATGAAGAAAAAACAGGAGCTTGATAAGGATAGCAATGGAAGATTAAAAAGAAAGACACTCAAAAGCAAAAATGTAAGGCCTGAATTTTTAAAAATTCACTTGGTTAGAATAGAAGCACATTAGAAACTCAGAAAAAAATGAATTTGGTTATACAGTGATAGAAACTATCCAAAATGAAGTATACAGAGAAAATAAGGCCTGAAAAACAAGACATTAAAGTATAACAGCAATTGTTTTAAATGTGTAATTGATGTCTCAGAAAGAGAATCAAGGGAGTGGTTTGAAGACATAAACATTTACCATTTTCTAAAACTGACAAAAACTATAAATCCACAGGTGCAACGAACTTAATGAACCTCCAGAAGAATAAACAAAGATACTCCCAGGAACATCCTAATCAAACTGCTGAAATCCATTGATAAAAATACAATTCTAAAAGCAGACAGAAAAAAAGACAAATTATCTCTAGAGAAAGGAATGTAAAATATACAGTATGTTTTTCATCAGAAACTGTACAACTACAATATTGAGTAATATTATTAAAGTGCTAAGAATAATATATCATTCTAGAATTCTTTACCCAGCAAAAATACAATAATAAATAAAAAATAAAGGCTATTTCAGACAAGCAAAAGCTGTGTAAATTCACTTACAGCAGATTGTACTCTAAGAAATAATAAAGGAAGTCCTCAAAGTAGATGAAAAATTATAGCAGATAAAAAATCTGTACCTAAGTAAAATATGTGGGGAAGTAGGAAATAAGCTTTTAATATTGTACTTCTTTTAAAAGATAATTTACTACTTAATGCAAAGATAAAGTATATGGTGACAAAAGTAAAAAAGGCAAAAAAAGATAATGAAAGTATACTGTCATAGATTTTATGTTACATGTGAACTGGCTTAATATTATTTGAAAGTAAACTGTCATAAATAAAGATGTATATTATCAATGTCAAAGCAATTATTAAAAAATTAAACATAAAAATATAGATACAAGATCCAAAATAGAGGTAAAATTAAATCTTAAAAATTTTAATTAATTCAGCAGAAAGCAATAAAATATTTAAAAGTAACAAATGACAGAGAAGATAATATTAAATAAATAGCAAACAACAAAATATATAAATCAATTAAATGTAAAAGGTCTAAATATCCCAATTAAAAAGCAGGTTTGCCTGGTAGATTAAAAAAAACAAGACCCGGCTATTTTGATATCTGTAAAATGCCACTTAAAATATGAAGATACATACATGACTCAAGTAAAAAGTTGGAACAAAGTATACAATACAAACATCAATCAAAAGTAAGCTGGAGTGGTTGTATTAATATGAGACAAGTACATGTAATAATGGTGAATATTACCAGAGATAGAGACATTTTACAATGACAAATATGTGAAGTCATCAAGACATGACAATTCTAACTGTGTATGCTACTGATAATGAGCTTGAAAATATATGATGCAAAATGAATAGAAATGAAAGAGATATCGATAAAGCCACATTTCTTTCTCAGTAATTGATAGAACAAATACACAAAAGTAAGAATACAGGAGACTTGAACAATGCTCTCAACTAACTCAATCTAATTAGCAGTTTTAGAATACTATAGACAACAACATTAGAAGATACCTTAAATAATAGATGGGACATTCACCAACATCGTTTATATTGTGGGCCATAACGCGGCTCTTAATAAATTTCAAAGTATCCAAATCAGACAGTTGGTACTCTGAACATAGTGGAATTAAATTATAAATTAATAACAAAAAGATCTCCAGAAATCCTTGAATATTTGAAAATTTTTAAATGAAAGCATAACATTATCAACACTTGCAGAATGTATTTAAAGCATTTCTAGTATGCCTGTATTTTTTTTAAAAAGTTTTAAGTACATTACTTAAGCATTTATTTTAAGAAATAAGAAAAATAAAAAGTGTCCCAAATAAACAGAAGAACAGAAGTAATAAAGTTAAGGTCAGAAGACAAGAGTATTGTGAACAAAACCCACAGAGAAAATCAATGAAAGTAAAGGTTAATTCTTTGAAAAGTTCAATAAAATGACAAGATTTACCCAGACTGACTGGGAAAAAAACTATCAATTAACAATTTGTGCTAATATATTCCACAACTTAGTCATTATATGCAATATATTCTACAACAAATTGCATGGAAGATAGAAATCAGTAAAACTCTTTCAACAAGTAGATAAATAGCTTCATATTTATTAAAGTAGGTGGTAGGTTAAATTTTTCTCACAAAACAAAGAAACAAACAATAACAAAATGTTAAATTCCAGACCCACATGGCTTCACTGATAAATTTTATGAAACATTTAGGTAAAAAAATAATACCCGTTTTCTTGTAGACATAGTAGAGGAAAGAATACAATTCATTTTATAAGTCCTGTGTTTTCCCAATACCATTACAAGACAATGATATTATAAGAAGAGAAAACTGCAAACTAATATCCCTCATGAACACAGTCACAAAAACCTTTAATACAATTTTAGCAATAAAAAAACCCCAGTATATTACAAAAAGAAAATAATTCGGGTGTAATTTATCCCAAGAAAGTGAGTTTTATTAACCTTCAAAAATCAAGAAATATAATTTAACATCTTAATAGGCTTTACAAAAAAAGAAATCCATGTGATAATATCTATAGAGGCAGAAAAATCACTTTAAGCAACATATTACCCATTCACTAAAAAATACTCTCAGGAAACTAGAAATAGAAATAATCTTCCTCAAATTAATAAACAGTATCAAATAACATCATGTTTTATTCTGAAATATTAATGCTTTCACTCCTTGTATTTTTTATCCATTTTGGTGGAATTTTAAGAAATCTCTGTATAATATCAAATAGCTAACATTTGCTTTTGCTCATCTTTGTGGCAGAAATCGCTGTCTCTATCTAATTCATTTTTGGTGATTATTATTATTTATTTCTTGTTTGCTTGGGATGTACTGTGTTCCTTTTCTTCTAACTTCTTAAGGCAGTATTTAGCTTATATTATTTCAGACTTTCTTTTTTTCTGATAAAAGCATTTAAATATAAAATTATCCACTTGATGGCAATACCTAACATTTAGTAAATGTTTATTAGATGCCAGACACTTTTCTAAATACTTTATGTGTATCAACTGATTTAATCTGCACTTTCTCTGACCAAATTATCATTGTATAACTCCATCTTATTATAACATAGTTAATGCATAAAGAGCTTGACATAATGTGTCTAAGCACAAACACCTGGTAATGAGAAAGCTAGAATTTTAAAGTTAGGCTATGAATCCAGAGCCCAATATACTGTCCTGCTATTTGGTATATTGATAAATAGGCAACCAAAATAATATCACTGGCAAAATTTCTTTATTTAGTTTTCCAGCTTACTATGCTTTGTTCTGTGGCTAAATTTATTCCATTACTAATTTATTAATTTCACCTCTAATATTTTATTAGTATACAATATTTTCAGCTGGATATATTTTAAGACTTTTGTTTATTTTATTTCCAGTAGCATCCCTTAGTTCTTGGGAATTATTTAATAGGCAAAATATAAATTATTGTTTTATGGTTTCATTAATTTTGTTTTGTCTAGAAATGTCATTCAGTTGAATGTATTCCATTGAATGTGCACTGTCACTGCTCAAGTTTTTCATCATTTTTTTTGTGAGCCCATATTGTATGTTTTATCAGCTAACATAAATATTAAATGTCATACCTGGGGAAAGGTGTGAAAGGTGAGATGAAGGGGTGTCGGTGGTGTTCAGAACTATCTTGGGGCAGTTGGAGCAAATATTATAATAGGACTTAACTACTCTGTGTTTAGTTTCTCCGTCCCCAGACCAAAGACCCTGCCTCCTTGGCACTTCGGCCACAAGACCTACTTTTTCCAAAGAAATGTCTATTAAGAGGGAATTTGTAACAAGCTCCCCACCCCACTGGACTCTAAAGCATCTCTTAGACAACATTGAGACAGAATTAATATTTTTCTGATTTGCAAAATAGAAAAGAAGCCACAGAAAATATTTTACTCAAGGTGATGTGGAAAATGAAAAGACACACATTAAAAAAATCTGATACAAAATAATGCTACTTTACTGACATCTTGCACTCTTGTACTTAGGCCTACCATTTCCTCTGACAATATACCCAACCACTTGTTTGTTGGGTTTCCTGGTATTTTTCATGTGAATTTTTCAAATCCATTAATTTCCCTACTACTTTGGCAATATTTTTAAAGTTTGACACAGAGAAGAGCACAAGTAGCCCATACATCGTTTCTATTTTGTTAAATTGGAAATTAATGTGTAAAATTTTATTTGTTCTAAGAATGTCTTAATGAATGACTTAGATCAAATAAGTTTTAACCTAGATATTATTATATGCAGTGAAAATTTAAAGTAATATTGACTCAATTTTTCTGGTTCCAGAAATGTAGTGTTAGTGTGAAATTATACTAAGTCTAACATTAACATTAACATTTCTTGAAATGATTATATTCATTATATACAGAAAACATAAAACGAAGTCCAAAAGCTCTTCAGAGTAGACCTCTTAATGAGTTCAAGTTGTCAAGAAGCTGTTTAAGCTTTAAGATATATTTTGTCCGTGTTACACGATCCAGAGAGTTTAGACTTTTTCACCAGCTCTGCAAAATTTTTTGATTCTGCCAACCTTCCTCATGTATTCTAAAATAAAAGCAACTAAGTTTTTAAAAACTAAGGAACTCATTTTCTAAAATCCAGTTCTCTTAAATTTACCATTAGAATTATTGAAATTAGTTAAAAGATAAGGCATCACGCTTAATCTTATTTCAATAAATTCCAAGAGATAATCTTTGATCGTTTTGAGATATGTCAGGAAGTCTGCCATATCTAGAAAGATAGTCCTTTTCTCCCTTATGCAATTTAAGATTATATGTGATTCTATTAGACCAGATATCTTGTCATTAGCAGAGCTGTGCAAGCTTATTTAGTCCAGGTTGAACTCAATTCCCCATGGTAAAAGAGTTCACACATGTTCCAACTCGACTACAAGCTCTCATGGGAAAACTAGCCAAGTAAGGAGTATTACAATACAATATAATCCACCTTAGTAGAGGAAATCTGGATATAGGTAAGATACAGCCAGATAGGGAATCCCCTCAGTAGAAAAGAGATTTTAAGAGAAATTATACTGTGAGACAAAGTGAGAAAAATAGTCATTTAATAGGTCTACTTCATATAGGATGAGATGTATTTGATGAGAATGACATTAAATTACTTGAATCACTGCAAAACACTGCACGGTGATCAATTTGCTTTTCAAGGATGTAGAAGAAGAATGCATTTCTTAAAGTAAGATTTAGTTCTTGCATATCAGCAGAGTGCAAGGGTCTTTTCTTAGGGGAACCTTTAAGTCATAGGATTCTATCAAGAGTCCATTTGCGTGCAAGGATTATCTTTTATCTCTGACCTAAATGCTTAGCCAAACATTAAAAATAATATTACATAAGTATGAGAAACAAAGCCTATTTCAGGGAACATGGCAAATACTGCAGTGATAGTTTTGAAAAAAAGGCTTCAAATTTGTTAACACTTCTCCTATCACATCTATGTCCCTCCCTTCATGTCAGGTTCTGCTGCTGCTTAACCAACAGAATATGGTAAAAGTGATAATGTGCCAGTATTTGTGTTCAGTCCTTAGGAGAATGACACCATCTACTTTCTGACTCTTGGAATATTTGTTCCTGTGAACTAGTCCCCAAGCAGTGAAAAAGCCCAAGCTCCCAACCCCATGGAGAGACTCAATAGCTAGCATCAAATTGCCAGTTGCAAGACTGAATCATTTAGAAGTGGATCTTCTAGCCCAGGGGAACTTCCCCAGCTAACACCATGTTGAGTGAAGTTTAGATGATTCCACCAATCCCTGCTAAAATTACACATTTGTAAGCAGAATATATCATTTTTTATGTGTAATAGCATTGAAATTTTCATGTAGCTTGTTGCACAACTATATGATAGAACAATTACATTCTTGGGGCCCTTATGTTCGATACAGGTTTCAGGCATTTGTGGAAAGTTTCATTTTATGTTGCAAGTTCTAACTAAAAGAGACACATGTAACATCCTGCTTCCTCAAGTGAGCACAGCCTTTGTAAAAATCAGCAGCCCTTTTTAAAAGCAATAATTTGGTGAAGGACTTTACAGATGAAATACTGAAGACGAAACATTCACGTAACACAGGAATAAGACATGAAAGGATGAGGAATTACAGAACTGCAGAGGTGGCTTCTGATGTCTTAGATAATTTAAAGTCAAAGAATAATAAAGTTAAATACCTACCTTTTTTTTTTTTTTTTTTTTTTGAGATGGAGTCTCACTCTGTCGCCCAGGCTGGAGTGCAGTGGCGCGATCTCGGCTCACTGCCGCCTCCCGGGTTAACGCCATTCTCCTGCCTCAGCCTCCCGAGTAGCTGGGACTACAGGCGCCCGCCACCACGCCTGGCTAATTTTTTTTATTTTTAGTAGAGATGGGGTTTCACCGTGTTAGCCAGGATGGTCTCGATCTCCTGACCTTGTGATCCGCCCACCTCGGCCTCCCAAAGTGCTGGGATTACAGGCGTGAGCCACCACGCCCGGCCTTAAATACCTACCTTCTTGTTTTGAGGAATAGAATGATGTGAATAGAGTTCTGTAATTGTAAAAGGGTCTCATTTATTTATCTGCTGAACTAAGTGAATAGAAGCCAAAGTTTAGAATTTGTTGCTGCAAATGGCCAAATTATAAGTTCAGATAAATTCACGTCTTGGCCTAAGTCTCATGTAAATATAGGACATTGGCCAAAAAGAGTAGAACAAAAAAAAAAGGGGGATATTTAAGAAAAATCAAATGATTCAGAAGGCCTCTGAATTTTTTAGTTCTTCCCCAACTAATAATCCTCAAGAACAGAGCACCTTCTCCCTCATTTACAGAAGCTTTTCCTTTGCTTGAAGATGTCATCCTGCCTTTACCTGAGAGATCACACTTGTAGGATGGAACCAAAAATGCCCCTTTTTCCTCTCTCCTCATTATCACCGTATCATACCACTGAATCAATAGTAACTAGCTTTATATGAAAACTTGTTATGAAGGCAGTCAGTATGTGCAAAACCTAATTGTAGAACTGTGATTATTGCAGGAACTGACTTAGGTGCGGCGTTGTTAGGTCTTTATTTACCAGTGACTCTTAGTGCAGCAAGTAAGCTGCACCTGATGTTGTCCTCATGATTTTCTGGATGGAATCATTTAAACCTGAAACTAGTGGTTGTCAAGAATGTTGGGGGTAGGAGAGCAGAAATCATTGGTTGAAACAGAGAGAAATAATTCAACATTGAGAATCTAAAACGTTGGGAAAAAACTTTTTGTATGTGAACCCACATTCCAACCTTCGCATCTGTTTTACAAGACAACTGTATTATTTTCCCAGGGTTGCTGTTACAAAATGCCACAAACTGGGTGGTCAAAAGAACAGAAAAATTGTCTCACAGTTCTAGAGGCTAGAAGTTCAAGATTGATGTGTCAGCAGGATTGGTTGCTTCTGAGGGTTGTAAGAATCTGTTCCGTGCCTCTCTCATAGCTTCTGGTTGTTTGCTAGCACTCTTTGGCATTCCTCAGCTTGTAGATGCATCACCTAGAGCTGTGCTTTCAACTTCATATGGTGTTATCTCTGTGGGCATGTCTATTCCTGTATGCAAAGTTCCCCTTTTCATAAAGACACCCATCATATTGGATTAATGACCTAATCTTAACTTGATCATATGCAAAAGCCCTTTATTCCAAATAAAGTGACATTCATAGGTACTGGAGATTAGGACTTCAACATCTTTTGGAGGACCACAGTTCAACCCGTAACAACAAGTAAAGATGTAAAAAATATTTTGGCAAGCAAAGCACCAGTCTACATTTATAACAGATTATTGACTTCATCTCTCAGTTCCTGGTTATGTAACTCTTAGAACACAGAATTCAGTACACAAGGATGAAAGAATCAGTTCAATTTCATTGTAGTGCAGGATTTGAGTAAGTGGCTGTTTCAAACTCCAGTTCTCTAAACTTTCTTCAGTTATCCAGAGTTGGTTTTGTTTCTTTTAAAAAAAATAGAAATTGATGCATAAAGATTGTTGTTTCTATTAAAACTAGAAATCAACTGGTAATTCTGAATATGGAAGAGGAAACTGAGTTTTGACAGAAAATTTTAAGGAGGAATAAAGTAAAAGTCAGAAATGCGACAGTGTTTGAGAATACAGCTACAAAGGATGTGCTAAAAATTAGGGTCTGGGCTGGGTGCAGGGGCTCACGCTTGTAATCCCAGCACTTTGGCAGACTGAGGCGGGTGGATCACGAGTTCAGGAGATCGAGACCATCCTGGCCAACATGATAAAACCCCATCTCTAGTAAAAATACAAAAGTTAGCCAGGCATGGTGGTGCGTGCCTGTAATCTCAGCTACTTGGGAGGATGAGGCAGGAGAATCACTTGAACCCCAGAGACGGAGGCTGCAGTGAGCCGAGATCATGCCATTGCACTCCAGCCTGGGCGACACAGCAAGATTCCCTCTCAAAAAAAAGAAAAGAAAAAAGAAAAAACAATAGGTTTCTGGGCATTGTAGGTGGATAGCTATATCCACTACATAAAATAAAAAGAAGCTTAGCGTATTGGAAAAATGATTTGTATTGAAAATAATGCAGTGTAAGAAACTAATATTAGTTTTTTTACACGTTTATATTAGCGAGATAATATTACACATTTAGCCACTAAGGGAATCTTTAGCATATATTTGTCTTGTAGCTATACAGTAGCTACTCTGGCAGTATTTGTTGAATGAATGAATGAACTAGTCAATTTTTTAAGTAAAATATACAATAGAAAATCTGATTGCTTTTCTTATTGCCTGGCATGGTAAAACTGAATATAAATGACTAAATGATGGTATTTAAAGAACTATGCAGGTGGAAGATCCTAGCAAAAAACAATTATGGAAACTGTTGATGGCCCAGATGAAAACTTAGCTGGGAATGTGGGAGTTAGGATGCCATAGTAATCATCAATATCATCCCAATAAGGGGATTTCCCTATTTTGTACACATATACACAAGGAAAATCAAGTGTAAAGCCATAAAAAGTAATTGAATTTTGTCATGTCATTGAAAAATGATTTATAAAGAATCACTGTTTTCCTTGTGGGTTGCCATTCATTGTTATTACACTATTTACCAAATGAAACAGAATACTATAAATAGCAAGATGTGAAACAGATATGTGATACTTACCTTAAAATAATAAAATACTGAAGTAGAAAAAATTAAATTAGAAAATTATACTCTATCCTCTGTTTCCACATTATAATGTTAATCAGAACAGGTAAAAAAAAAATTGAAACAAAGATAATCTGTCAACATTAGTACAACTTCTAAGAATTACAGGTTTGACAACTATTGCCATTACCTTTATGTTTTTTGTATGATTTCTTTATCAGTAATAGTGTTATACCTATATAATGTAGACAATATTTTAATCTGAATGTCCCCTGTTCACTACTAATGATAGCCCCCAAGGGCATTGTGAAATCTTCCCTTCAGATAGCGTCTTGCACATTTCTAGCGAATGTGATTTTACTCTGTTTGTGTCTCTAAAACTGAACTCTATAACAAAGTTACCAAGATAGTGACTTTGCTTTAGGCACTAAATTCCACAGGCACAATTGATGATGTGCCTAATGCATCCTAGCTTAAATCTAAACTAATAAACAGTGAGGAACAACCACTGCAGGACATCAACAAATTGCAAAACTTAACATTAATGTCTGTTCCTGAAAAGCTCCAGCTACCACTACATTAACTGAAAAAATAACTTCAGAAAAAGAAGCTTCATTTACCAATTAGTTCTGCTGAGTCATTCTCCCATGAGATGGAAGAGCCAATAGATCTTCCTTAGAAGAAGCAGAGGTGCTGTGCAAGTCCTAGATGGGAGAGATGTGGAGAACTGGGCCAAAGCAGATATTTTCAAAATGATTTGTTACTCTAGTTGTTCTATTATGGATAATCATAGGGTATGCTATACTTAATTTACTTTCAGTTAAAATATTTTGATTTCATTTTTTTGAAAATTCTGAAATTATAAGAATTCCAGAAGATTTATGTAGTTTATTCATTTAAAGTGTATTTTTTATTATTTTCTTGTGTTTTTGGGGAAAACAAATATACATTATTAATAAATAAGAAAGTAATCTAAAAGAAAATAATTTGAAACACATGTGATCCATTGTCTTTCTACCAGCCCACAATTACAGTATTCCATGGTAATGAAAAAAAAAATACAATGCAGACCATCTGTATATTCCGAGCATCCCTGACACAGTAAGTATACATACTACATTTCTTCAATGTCACTAGACATTTTCTAGTCACATTTCTTCAATGTCACTAGAAAACATTCTGTTCTCTTTTTTCTGAAAAGCTGTGGGATAATTTCACATACAGGCCCTATATGTTATATATATATATACACACACACACACACACACACACACATATATAAAACATTGTTATTAATATAAGTTAGATTTGCCTAGTGTTTTAATAACACTCACAAATACTTCAAGGTGATTTTTTTCCCAATAGAATCTAGAATGTATGTAGTATTTAGTAGCATATCCTTAGAGCGTGTTCATTATCATTTCAATATTTTTCTTTTATTTTAGCAATGCAATCTCACCTGATTTGTTTGCTCTACAAAAGATCATTTTATACGTGTTCTGAGAAGACTGCAGTATAATTTTCATGTGCTCATTTCCATTAGTTCCTTTACTGTTTTTAAAAGAGGTCTCTTATATATGATAATTTTCTACGGGTAATTTGACATGTATTTGTAGCTTCAACTATCCTAAATATATATGCACCCAATACAGGAGCACCCAGATTCATAAATCAAGTTCTTAGAGACCTACAAAGATACTTAGACTCCCACACAATAATAGTGGGAGACTTTAACACCCCACTGTCAATATCAGACAGATCAACATGATAGAAAATTAATAAGGATATCCAGGATTTGAACTCAGCTCTGGACCAAGAGGACCTAACAGACATCTACAGAACTCTCCACCCCAAATCAACAGAATATACATTCTTCTCAGCACCACATCGCACTTATTCTAAAATTGACCACATAATTGGAAGTAAAACACTCCTCAGCAGATGTAAAAGAACAGAAATCATAACAAACAGTCTCTCAGACCACAGTGCAATCAAATTAGAACTCAGGATTAAGAAACTCACTCAAAACTGTATAACTACATGGAAACTGAACAACCTGGAATGAATACAGAAATAAAGATGTTATTTGAAACCAATGAGAACAAAGACACAATGCACCAAAATCTCTCGGACACATTTAAAGCACTGTGTAGAGGGAAATTTATAGTACTAAATGCCCACAAGAGAAAGCAGGAATGATCTAAAATTGACACCTTAACATCTCAATTAAAAGAACTAGAGAAGCAAGAGCAAACAAATTCAACAACTAGCAGAAGACAAGAAATAAGATCAGAACAGAACTGAAGGAGATAGAGACACAAACAACCCTTCAAAAAATCTGTGCATCCAGGAGCTATTTTTTTGAAAAGATCAACAAAATAGATAAACCACTAGCCAAACTAATAGAGAAGAAAAGAGAGAAGAATCAAATAGACAAAAAAAAATATGATGAAGGGGATATCACCACTGATCCCATAGAAATACAAACTACCATCAGAGACTACTATAAACACCTCTATGCAAATAAACTAGAAAATCTAGAAGAAATGGATAATCCCTGGCACATACACCCTCCCAAGGCTAAACCAGGAAGAAGTCAAATCCCTGAACAGACCAATAATAAGTTCTGAAATTAAGGCAGCAATTAATAGCCTACCAACAAAAAAAGTCCAGGACCAGATGGATTCACAATCAAATTCTATCAGAGGTACAAACAGCGCTGGTAGCATTCCTCCTGAAACAATTCTAAAAAATAGAAAAAGAAGGAATCCTCCTTAACTCATTTTATGAGGCCAGCATCATCCTGATATCAAAACCTGGCAGAGACACAGCTTCATCAAATTCTGTGCTTAACAAGCTGAATCACTGCCTATCACTGCTAATGTACCACATTATCCCTGAATTACTGTTTTCTTTAAAAAATAAAATGTCAAACTAGCAATAATTCAATAAATCAATATCTTAGTGCTAAATAATGCACCTAAAAATGTGTATTTGAACTTGGTGATTAATGAACATTGTACACAATATCTGTTGGACCTCATATCTGTATTTCATTGTGTGAAATAAAGTATAGCTGTTAATTATACCTAAGAAGTAGTTACACATGCTTCAGATAGGGTTCAATTATAACAAGATTTAGATAAAAGCTAATAATTTGAACAAACTCCAAGGTGAAAAAGGAAGATTTAAGAACGAAAGATTTATTTTGGTTATTGAAAAACCATTTTAACATCTTAAATTCAAAAGATTGTAATATAATTTTGTATGCATGCCTTCATTTATTATTTCCCATTTGTTTATTCATCTTATATGCATTAAACATCTTTTATATCCAGAACTATAATATCATTGAAAGAAACTTAAGAGTGCTACTGAGGTGCCAAAGAGAGCTTCAGAATCCACTTCACACTTATTTTGATACAGCAAGTTAGTACACGAATCTGTTGGAATCCATTTTCGATATTTGGAATTTTGCATCATAGTATTATTTTTAGAAATGTGATGGATAGCTGAGAATAAAAAATAGGTCTTTTTTTTTTTTGCTAGGAAAAAATTTAAATAATTGTAACCACATCAAAAAGGTGGGGAAAATTAAATATACTGACAAAAATCTTATTCCTAAACAAGGTTATATCCTATTTATAAATAATCATCTAAAGTTTTAACACAGGTCAGATACTGAGAATTTATTTCACCATCTTAATTTGCCAACTTTAAACAAATAATAATAACAAATATTAAATAAACTCAATATAAAGACAGCTTACAGCTTCAGAAACATGCCAGTAGTAGAACTTTAGTTTTCTTCTAAATATACCCTTTTTTTTTTTTTTTTTTTTTGAGGAGGAGTTTCACTCTTGTTGCCCAGGCTGGAGTGCAATGGCACAATCTTGGTTCACTGCAACCTCTGCCTCCTGGGTTCAAGCGATTCTCCTGCCTCAGCCTCCCTAGTAGCTGGGATTACAGGAGCCTGCCACCACACCCATCTAATTTTTTGTATTTTTAGTAGAGAGGGGGTTTCACTATGCTGTCCAGGCTGGTCTCGAGTTCCTGACCTCAGGTGATCCACTCGCCTTAGCCTCCCAAAGTGCTGAGATTACAGGCATGAGCCACCGTGCCCGCTAATATACCCTTTTATATTTAGGATAAAATTCACTATTTATGAATTTTGTAGTAGGGGCTATACAAAAGTGAGTTTCATTGAAGATGCTGAGAATTGGTGATACTTAAATAATACATGAATGTATAAACTTAATATATTTGGAATTGTAAACAAAGCAAAGCAATTACATTTCAGAATTTTTTGTGCTCAATAATTTTGTGACATACCTTTCTATGGAATTATGCATGCAATGAAAAAAAAGTATTTTAAGATACCAACAATAAAACCCTCTTACTATGTGGTATACAAGAAAATGTATAAAGTCAGAGCAGCTTAAAAAGAAGAAACTATCGGAAATATTAATCTTTGAAAGACCAAGAAAGAAATAGGATTAGAAATAGATTAATCTTTGAAAGACCAAGAAATAAGATTAGAATTAAATGACTAGCTTAATCGTTTAAAAAGGAATTAAAATTTGTGCATTATTAAGTGAATATACTCATGGTACAAACTATCAATCATATATTAGGCAATGGAGAAAAAAATTTTTAATTCTTAAAAGGAATAATTCCAAAAACTACATTTTTTACCAGAATCAATTAAAATTAATAAAGTATATTAATATTGTATATAAAATTACCCAAACATGAAAAGTTAAACATGTGTTTTATATTATATATATATATATATTATTCCCAAAGAATGAAATAATTTTTAGCAATATGACTGTGACTAATAAGCATCAATACTGTTGTCATATAACCAAAGTTAGAGGAAAATTTTTATTATTAAATACAGAAGCAATAAAGTAAATTTATTTTATATACAACTTGAGAATTCCTGAGTGGACACTCCAGCTGAGACCTGAATGACTAGAAAGAAGAAACGCTACTATCTGAGTTAAGAAGATTATAGCAGAAGAACTATAAAGTATGAAATCTTCAGGTCAAAATAAATTGAATTCAAAGAAAGAAAGGGTAATATTTTCTTATAGGAGTGTAAGAGAAGAAAAACTTTTTGAAATTATGCAATTTAAAAACCAAGAAAATAGAAATACTTTCAAGAGACGCAATTGACAGAACCAGAATCGGATATGAAGCAGATATTAGGGTTAGCAGATAAGGACTTTAAAATAATTATAATTAATATGCTAAGAAATCCAGTGGAAAAGGTAGAAAACATTTATAAACAAATGTAAAAATCCAGCAGACAGAAGCATTTTAAAAGAATCAAATAGAAAAACTAAAAACAAACAAACCACAATATTGGAGATGAATAATTCCTTTAATTGATGTATCAGTAAACTCAATACAGCTGAGGAACAATCAGTGGCAACAAAAATCACAGCAGGATTTTATGTAAAAAATAACAAGCTGATTCCAAAATTATATAGAGAGTCTAAGGATATAGGATAGGCAAACAATTTTGTAAAGATAGGAACAAAATTAGAGACCTTACAGTACCTGATTTGAAGGTTTCATAATCAAAACAGTATTATATTTTAAAAATGAGAGTCATATCACTCAATGGAACAGAATCAAGGGCCCAGAAGTGGAAAAACATGCTTGATGCATTATTTATAAAGCTGTAAAGGTAATTCCATGGAAGACAATAGACTTAATAAATGAAGTTGAAAAATTTACAAATCTATACAAAAATAAAGTTTAATCCATACCTCACATCATATACAAAAGGGATTCAAATCCATCATAGAATTTCTACAGAAATCATAGGAGAATATGTTTATTACCATGTGTTAGACAAAAAATTCTTAGCTAGAATATCATTCATATAAATCATATAAGAAAATATGTCTATATTGGACTTCATCAAAATTCACAACTTCTACTCTTAAAACGGTACTATAAATAAAATAAAAGGACAATCCACTGAGAGTAAATATTTGCAAATGATATATTTTATTCAACTACATAAATAACTCTTACATCTTGATAATAAGAAAACAACACAATGTAAAAGCGGGAGGGAGTAAAGGGTTTGGAAAAATACTTCACCAAGAAAAAATATATGAATGGCAAAAAACATACATGAAATGATAGTTAACATCTTCAGTTTTCAGCAAATGCAGAATGAAGACTATGAGATTCCACTACATACCTATTAAAAAGACTATAATTAAAAAGAAAACCTGACAATACCAAGTGTTGGTGATGACATGGAATAACTTAATACTTCATACATTACTGATGGGGATGCAAAGCTGTGTAACCACTTTGAAAAACAGCATAGTAGCTTCTTATACAAAGTTATATACACTTACCATACAAGTACCCTATAATATACAATCACATTCCTAGGTGTTTAACTAAGAGAAGTAGAAACATGTTTACACAAAAGCCCATGCAGTATTGTTTATATTAATAGTAGTCTTGTTTCTTATAACCAAAAACCTGGGAAGCACTCAAATATTCATCAACCAGTGAATGGATAAACTGTGGTATATTTGTACAGTAGAATACTCAGTACTGAATAAATCTAAAATCATTATGCTAAGGAAGGAAGTCTGCACAAAATGGTAGGGCATGATTTCATTTATATGATATCTTTAAATTGACAAAGCTATAAGAATGAAAATCAGACTCAGGGTCTGGGGGACTGAGGAAAAATATTGACAAAGAAGTATAAGGGAAATTTAAGGATGATGGAAATCTCTATATTCATTTAATAGCAAAGGCTACTAAACTTTATGCATTCATCAAAACTAATAGAAATGCACTAAAGAAATGAATTTTACCATCTGTGTATTATACCTCCAAAACGCCACCTATACTTGACCTAAACATACACACACACACACACACACACACACACACACACACACAGAGACAGAGAGAGACAGAGAGAGAGTTCTGCTTATTCTAAGTCTACATATGTCCTCTGAACAAACGTGGCCTCAAATGCAAAACTCGCCCGTCTCGATATCCACATTTTTCTCCATTTTGCCCACGAATTTCTCTCTATCTTGTGTGTGCTCTTAAAAACTTGTTCTGCATATTTTGGTCCATGTCTGCAGCTACCATTACTGGAGGCAGAAGTCAGATGTATTTGTTCTATATTCTCTCAATAAACTAAACCATATTACATGCATCCAACGCAATGCCATTAGCCAAACCAAATTATATAGGAAGAGACTGCACAAGAGACTTAGCGAATTGTCTGTAGACATGAGGTTTTCCTCAATCATATTTTTGGCTTGTTGTACATGATTAAAATGAAACTATCTTACTGCTGTTTCAGAAGGAGTCTGATGAGATATACCTGCTAATATGCCTGGAATGTTATTAAGATTTCAGAAATAACTGCACCTGCAAATCAATTAGCAGTGGCAGAGTAATTATCAGAAACAGAATTTCATGTACGACAAAGAATGCATCTGTACTTTGAGCTGTTGTTTTTGCCATTCGATTAGAATTTTTGTTGTTGTTGTTGTAAAAGCCAAAAATATGAAAAAGAATTGTGAAGAGGTAACACTGTTTAATTTCTGTAATCAAGTCTCTATTCATATTACATTTTCTCTTATATATACATGATTGTTATCCTCTGTGTATTTATAAACAAATCAAAATATTCATTGAAATCCTCTCTATGTCATTCAGTGTGGTGGGCACCAGCAATAAAAAAAATATTTAAACAAAAGAAAATGTTTCCACCTGTAAAGGAGCTTTAAAAATCCTGTAAGGAAACGTCCAAGCCCACAGATAATTCTAAAACAATGTGGAAGGTGATATGATAGAGGTTAGAACAAAAGAGCTTTGCTTAAAATGCCAAAATAAAATACAAGCATTTCACAAAATATTCAGTGGAAATGTGTTTTTCCTGACATAAAATTATTCCTCAATTATCCCCTGAAAGACTTACGTGGAAGAGATCCTCCCACTCCCAAGAGATCACCTGAGATCACTCTAAAATAGAGGTCTCCAAACCCTGGGCAGCAGAATGCTGCTGGTCCATGGCCTGTTGGGAACTGGGCCACACAACGGGAGGTGAGCCACAGGTGAGAGAGCATTATTGCCTGAGCTCCGCCTCCTGTTAGATCAGCGTGACCCCTATTATGAACTGCGCATGCGAGGGATCTAGCGGCTCCTTATGAGAATCTAACGAAAAATGTGCTTGGATCCTCCTGAAACCATCCCTCTAACCTATCCATAGAAAAACTGCCTTCCATGAAACCGGTCCCTGGTGCCAAAAATATTGGGACAACTGCTCTAAAAGATCAAAGTCCTTACTACCCATTGGAGAAAAGTGTTACTAAATGCCTCATTGATTCCACCAAACCCAGTGTTTACGTGCCATGCTTAAAAACATCTACTAATATCATCACTCAGCACACAAGGCTAGTTATTTCTGGGCTGTGGTCTGAACAGAAACATTGAAAATGACAGCTGCAGACCAGCTACAAATACTGTGAATAAGATAGTCCTTAATAGCTTTTGTTTATTTATTTTTTGCCCGTGGTCATAAACACTGACGTAGGCCAGTGGTGTGCTGGAGCTGGCTTGTACCAGCTTGTGACAGCTAACTGTACATATCTCATCCCAGCTCCATGATGAGTGATGATTTGCGGGCAGTACAAAAGAGGGGACATTTTACAAAGACGAAAATTGAAAAAAAGTTAAAGATCATTAAGGATGTTTCAAAACACTGACATTTTTGCAGAATTTCCATCATGAAAATGTATCTGAAATGAATGTGAAGACATAACATAGCTTTTCCAAGTTAGAATATAATTTGGAAAACCTTCAAAAAAACACTTATGGAGGCCATATGTCTAAAAAAAAATAAAAAAGGCAATTATCCTATGGCATGCAAAGCACTTTGAACTCTGAAATAAGATGTTAGCTGTATGAAAATAAACAAAATTTGCAAGTCAAAAAGTCTAAAAATCTCTATAGATATATGTTACATCCTTTATATGTCCATATACACAGGTATATATTAATTAAACTTTATATAATTGAACTTTGAATGATCATTATCTGTGACCAACGTCTAGGAGGCAAGAACACAAACACAATCCTTTAGGGCAAGGGTCTGCAAACTGTTGGTTCTTGGGCCAAACCTGGCCTGTGGCCTACTTCTCTTGAGCCTCAACTAACATTTTTATGTGTGTATTTCTAAAGGATCCTAAGGAAGCAAAAAAGAAAACAAAACAAAATAAAGCCAAACAACGAAGAATACATGACAGAGACCATATGGCACTTGTAAAGTAAAATATTTACTACTTGGCCCTGTGCAGAAAAACTTTGCCACTTCCTACTTTAGGGCAAGGAAAGTAAAAGGATGGCAATTAATTATATAACTAGAGAAGACCGGTTTTCCTAGTAATATAGATGACTTCAGGATGTAACTGAGCCATTACAGAATTGTGGGGTAAAGAGAGAAAGTTACTCAAAATGAACCCTTTTCTGAGAGGTAATGTTTTCACAACTTTACTAAATCAATTAGCTTTTGGGTCACATTCTCGGGCTTTGCTGTCATCATAATATCTAAAAGGTGGACAATCAATTTGCTTTATACTAAATCAATTCAAAGGAATGCTTGTCTATTAACCCAAGCAGTCCTTGAAAGACATAGCTACGTGTTTTTCAGAAAGCACTTTCTAGAAATTCATAAAATAGTCTCCAAAACCATTTTATAAATCTTTTCTACAAGGAGTAAAGCATGCTCACTAAAGCAGCCAGGGTTTGAGTTGCATTTTACCATCTGCTGGTTGTATGACCTTTGGCAAAATGATGCAAAGTCTCTTTCCTTCAGCTCTATTATTCATCTATATAAAGTGTAATAAAGTAAAATCTATATACGGCATTGGGCTATAATCAGGATTAAATAATATAATAACAAAAAAGCACAGTCACAGAATTAAGTGCTCAATAAGAGTTTGCAATTACTACCAATAAAGGCATCTCCAAGTTAGGCCTTCCATTTGTAATTACTGAAGCATTGAAATTTTTCTCTCGATTGATGGATCAGTTTAGTTAGATAGGTGTACATAATTTCCTGAATCAGAAATATTTTTGTTTCTCTATTTGCAATGTAATTTAAAAAAGAATTCAGAATGTGACTATGTTTGATTCTCAGTTAAATAATACACATAACTGGCCGGGTGCGGTGGCTCATGCCTGTAAATCCCAGCACTTTCGGAGGCCGAGGCGGGCGGATTGCCTGAGGTCAAGAGTTCGAGACCAGCCTGGCTAACATGGTGAAACCCCGCCTCTACTGAAAATACAAAAAAAAATTAGCCAGGCCTGGTGGTGCATGCCTGTAGTCCCAGATACTTGGGAGGCTGAAGCAGGAGAATTGCTTCAACCCAGGAGGTGGAGGTTGCAGTGAGCTGAGATCGTGCCACTGCACTCCAGCCTGGGTGACAGAGGGAGACTTCATCAAATAATAATAATAATAATAATAATAATAATAATAATAATAATACACATAACTTTTAGAACTGGTATTTGAATTTGCTGAGAAGCTATGCATTTTAGGAACTGACTGTTAAACCATCCCTGTCTTTGAAGAGTTAAGAAATGCCTAACCCTTTCAGGTTTCATTCCATAATGTCAGAAATCATGAAACTCACCATCACTTAAGGTATTGGTGTTTTCCCTTTCTATGACTTTTGGATAGTCATAGTTCTTTTTGTGATATGGCTAAGTGCTTAAATTGTTTGACTTAAACTGTCTGTAAAGTCTCTGACAATGCATGAAAATCAGAGACTAAGACACCATTATTATCCTTTCAGAGCTTTCCAAATAATGTTGAAGAGAATTAGATTGGAAAAATAAGTCAGTCTGAAGAAGTCTGCTCATCTCAGGTACTGTACCTCAATATGACTCATTCAGGAGAGAATTTAGTAAGTCCCCAGTACCAAAGACAATGTCACCTTGTTACAAATGACCATAATTGAAGCTTGGGGAAAGCTTCATAAAGAAACATGTCCTTGCCTGGCCTGATTCTGCAACTGAAGGGAAACAAGAGTACAAGGTCCTTTGTGTATTCAAGTAGAGTAAACACCATCAGGCCATTATAAAAGGGGTCATAGATTCCTGCATTTCTCTGGAGTTTTGACCATTTGAAATGAGAAACCTGTCAGATGATGCTGAGTATTCTGAATTTCAAACTCTATTAGATTTCCAGGGGAGTGCAGTAATAAGTAGTTTTAAGTTCAGCAGTGCAAGGCAGCGCCACGTGGCTTGGATTCTGTTAACATAAGAGTGATCTGGTTAGATGGAATGCTCCCTGGGAAGAAATTTTAGTTTTCCCTTTTGGAGTTGAAAATAAAAATAATGCTATTTTCTCTCTCACTGAGTTGCTCTTTTGTAGGCTTTTCTGGTGAAGTTACAATAAACCCATATGGATGAAATAAACAAGTTTCCCATTCAGATCCCCTGTGTATAATCCACATCAACCTAATGTTTCCAATTGACTTAAAATAAAATTCAGATGCTTGAAGTCTATAACCATGGGAAGAAGGGAAATAGGAAAAACTTACAGAATGCGCAGAAGACATAAGAAAGCATATAAAATTGCATACTGCATTTTCACACTTTGTGACAATTTGAGGTCAAATAATATCTTAATTCTGTGTGTTGAAAACTGGTGGTTGAAGCAAAATGACTTAGACTACATATCTATTCCTTGCGGAAAATAAACAAAGTTTGATTAAACATCTAGCCTTGGTTTTCCTTGAAACAGTAGAAATCTAAAAATACTATCATAAGACACAGAGTTTGAGAACAGGAAGGGATTTGGAGATGATCTATTCCAACTCCAGCATATTACATTAAAGAAATCAAGGCAGAGTCCTAAGTGACTCTGGTTTGCCCAAGTTCTTTTTAAATATATTTTATCTTTTGTGGGGAAGAAGATTTTCCTCAGTCCTCTTAGGGTCCCTGGCTGGGTCTGAAAAGAAAACTGACAAAGACAAATTAACAGAAGAAAATATACAAATTTATGTAAGTTTTACATGACATGGGAGCCTTCATAAGGAAATGAAGATCCAAAGAAACAGGAAAACGTGTGTATTTTTTATGCTAGATTTGATGAAGTGGATAGTCATGGAGAAATATAATTCGGTAAAAATGTATAGTCTGATGGTGATAAACTGTGGGAGACATAGTACAGCCTGTTTGTTTAGAATCTTCTCTGTGACCCTTTGTCCTTAGAGATGTTCTTTTCTTCCCAGTAAAAGGACACCTCAACATGAAGTCTTATGACCTGCTTCAGAGGAAGGTCACTGTTTTAGTCTGTTTTTATGCTGCTGATAAAGACATACCCGAAACTGAGCAATTTAAAAGAAAAAGAGGTTTAATGGACTTACAGCTCCATGTGGCTGGTGAGGTCTCACAACCATGGTGAAAGGCAAAAGGCACATCTTACATAGCAGCTGACAAGAGAGAATGAGAGAGTCGGGTGAAAGGGGTTTCCCCTTATAAAACCATCAGATCTTGTGAGACTTATTCACTACCACTAGAACAGTATGGGGGAAATCACCCCCATGATTCATTCATCTCCCACTGGGTCCCTCCCACAACACAAGGGAATCATGGGAGTTACAATTCAAGATGAGATTTGGGTGGGGACACAGCTAAACCATATCGGGCACAAAATCCTTCCAAGGTTTGACGGCCTTCTTCAGAGAAGAAGGGTTGAGGAAATCCAGAGTGACTTTCCTCCTTTTACTGTTTATTCAAATGCCAAGGTGCCATATTTTATGATAATGTTTCCTGAACCCCATCACCTTCAAACAAACATGATGGTATTTAAATCTTAATAAAAATGTAGGTTTTTGCATGTTAGTTCAAAATGATTTATTTTACAATTTTAGTTTAACTTTGAGATGTGGTACATGAAATTTGATTATTTTGCATTAATTTAGTAAATGCAATCTTTTGTAGCACTTGAGTAGAATTAATAGATATTGATGACCCTATTAATTTAGTTTTTTTTTAACCAGCTTATATAGTAGGAAGATAGGCCTGAATTTTTATTTTGGTTATGAGTATATGACTTCTAGAAATTTAAAAAAAAATTGTGACATAAGTTACATTATTAGCTTTATCTGTTATTTTGTTGAATCTTCACTTCAAAATTCAACATATTTATAGGAAAAACTGGTTATCTGTTTAAAATAAACATGTACATTGTAAACATATACTCTAGATTAATTTGGAATATTCTAATTAAACTAGTGCTTTTGGATTTATCAACTATGTGTCAAAAAAGGTCTCATTCGAGTTTTCTAGATTTTTCTTCTTAAGTAATGTTTTTATTCCAAATAACAAAGAAATAGAATCGTTCCAAAGCAAGAAATATAAAACCATTATTGCTATTCTTAGCAGTTGAAAGAATAGAGTGACAAAAATGATTTAGCAATTTCATTTCCAACTGATAAATGGATAAACAAAATGTGATCTGTCAATACAATAGAATATTATTTTGCCATAAAAAGGAATAATGTAATTTCCATATTATTATGATGATGGACCTTAAAAACAATATGCTATGTGAAAGAAGCTAGTTACAAAAGACCCCACAAATGGTATGATTCTATGTGAAGTGTTTATAATAAAAAGAAGGTAGTGGTTGCCCTGGATGAGGAGTAATCTTTAATAGGTATGAAGTTTCTCTCCGGGGTGATAAAAATGTTTTAGAATTAGGTAGCAGTAATAGTTGTGCAACTCTGTAAATATACTAAAAAACATTGAATCATACAGTTTAAAAGGTAGAATTACATGGCATAAGAAGTTTATCTCAATAAAGCTGTTTAAGAATCACAGCTTGATTAATGACCTTCACCAGAGGCAAGAGTCTGCAACTGAATTTTTCTCACTGGTGAATGACAACAAATAGGAATAATTGTGTACCTCAAAAACATTACAGTATTTGTCTATATGATTACAATATCTATTTTTCTGACTACAAGTGAACTCCAAAATAAATTATATATATATTCATGGTTAATATAATTTCCCATGTTGCTGAAATTTGTATATTGTTTTCCTTTACCAATGTAAGATCTGCTGGTGAGGGGAAATGACTGTCTGGTTTAATTATTGTTTATACGTTTAGAAATGGGATATTTAATTCTGTAAAAAATGGAGCTTGTCAATTTTAAAAGATAACAATTTGATTTAATTAAAAGTTTTGAGGTTTAATTGATAATAAGTAATGTGATGAAAGCCAAGCTTAGTAAAGTCTATCTGCATAAATTTCGTGTTATCCATTGAAAAATAAAAATTAAGCTGAATTATCTAAATTTTCAGTATTCTTGATAAACATTATTTGAAACATTTGATTTTTTTTTCTTCAAAAACCTTTTAGGGAAAAACAATTCCGGAACTGCATGTTGAGATCCTAAATTTGCTAGGTACAGTAACATTTTTCAGTTTCAATGAATTTGATTTGCTGAACTTGATATGCTAAATGTGAATATTAATGCTCAAGTTATAATAGTGGTTTTTATTAATTTAAATCTTGTACAACTGGTTTAATAATTTTTCAAATAGCCCCTTGCCTACTTTTTCATGAAAGCAGCTAACTAGATCGGCTCTTAAATGTAAAGTAGGCCAGTTTCATTGCATTTGGTTGAAGCATATCCCACAAAGAAACACAATGCAGTAAAGCAAACTCCTTAACACCTATCAGGAAAAATATAACATTGTCTACATGTTACGTAAAAGACTCAGTTTTGGCAAAAAATTTAATTCCTCTCTTCCATAATGGATGAATGCAATCACATAGGAAAACTGACAAGTAAAAATTATCCTCTGTCTTTTCTCTTGTCTGTATCATAGCAGAAATATTAAAACGGTAATAAAGTACATTTTACACAGTAAGACTATTTTCATAGTACATTTACATTATAAGAGTATAAGAAAGAAGGGATAGGATTTATCATTTGTAGTAGACTAAGTAATGACCTTCAAAGATATCAGATCCCAATGCCTGGAACCTGTACATATTATCTACTGGGAAAAAGGGTCTTTGCAGAAAAAGATCTTGAGATGGAGAGATTATCCTGGATCATCTAGCTGATCATCTAGGGCCCTAAATGCAATCACAAATGTCTTTATAAGAATGAGACAGAAGGACACAGACTTAAGAGGCATTAAGCAATTTGATCACAGAGGCAGAGATTGGAGTGATGTAGCCACAAACCAACGAATGCCAGCAACCACCAGAAGCTGGAAGAAGCAAAGAACCCTTGAGTCTCCAAAGATAATACAGCCTGGTTGGATTTCTGGCCTCCAGAACAGCAAGGGAATACATTTCTGTTTTCTTAAATCACCAAGTTTGTTTTAATTTGTTACAACAGCCACAGGAAACTCATATATCACTCATGACAAATTATTCCTTAACTAAAGTGTTTTAGACACCTTTTTGCCTGGAGGCAGTAATTTAAGCAGATAATTGCAGGAAACCCCTTAAGGGTTTTCGGATTAAAAGAGATGTCAAAGCAATAGTGCTAAATCCTTACCCACTTTTTCAATTTGTCTCTGTTCTAGACCCTTGACTTGAATACCCCCAGAAACAGAGAGCTCAAACCCCTCAGTCAATACATACCACCTATGAACTGATCTGTTTTCTAGAAACCACTTATGTGTGCATGTATGTGTGTTTGTGTGTATGTTAACAAATCTGAACTGAAACACCTCTCTGTGTTTTTTTCCTTTCATCGGTTAGTCCTTAAGAGGCACATTTAACATGTTTAATCCATTTCCCAATTTATTGGCCCTTAATTATTTGAAAGCAGTTCCCCACATCTTCCATTTTTGAGACTAAATGTTATAAATTAATTGTTAATTTATCATTTGATGTCAGCCTTTGACTCAGTCATTCTTAAGTGGTTTATCACGACCTGCAACATCAGTATCACCTGGAAACATAGCGGAAACGCAAATGCTTAGCCCCATCTCAGGTCTACTGAATCAGAAACCAGAGGATAGGGCCTAGCAATCTGTTTTTAACAAGCCTTTGAAGTGATTCTGATATTTGTTGAAATTTAAGAGCCATTTGTTTTACTTATCATATACTACTAGCATTATTATTTTTGAGGGTCCTGAAATAAACAGAGCTACAGTGTTAGGTAAACGTAGATAATATTCAAGCTTTATGCCACACTTTTAGGTTAATTTTAAAATAAATGTAAAGGCCTTAAAATGACATTCCCCAAATACTCAATGTTACTTGTTTCCATTGAACTTCAATTAATTTTCACTGTGTAACCTCAGAGCACGTTTGAATGTGCGCAGTACTCTCTCCAGGAAAACATCAGTGTCTGTTCATAAAGGTAATGATCAAATCAATTAACAACACAGAAATGGGTACTTTTGAATTTGTAGGGCGGTAGCAGGTGTACCAATAATAACACATCAGTATTAACTTAGACACTTATTGGTTAATCAACTGATAGCTGTGAAATTTATAGTGCTGACCTGATTATACTCAAGTCAAAAGAGGAATGTGTTACATAAAGGAAAATCAACCCATCCAGCTCATTCAATGACAGCATAGTTTCATTCTGTATGTGTGTAAAACTCAATAATATTCCATTGTTGAGTTCCATCAACAAATACTCATTCAATTTCAACTTTGTTCCAGGCATGTAAGTGCCAGAAATCATGCAGGCAATAAAACAGACAAATATACCTGCTGTATTATAGTGGCGAAAATATAAGTATTTATACTATTGAGCACATACAATGTGTCAGGCATCGTTCTAAGCACATATCAAACTGGGGGGGTAAGTACTATTATTGTTTCTTTAAACATATCAAGAAACAGGGGCAGAGAGATTTACTAGTTTTCCCAGCTAGTAACTGGTGAAGCTCTGAATAAAACCTGTTGGGACTGTGGATATCACATTCTTTGCCACTGTACTTTATTGCCTCATAATTCAGAGAATTTAAAGAATGATCTTGGTTGCATGAAAGGAAATATCATGGCTTCAGAATAATGAACCATAAGAAGAAAAAGTATCAATAAAAAATAGTCATTAAATAATGAAGCCTTAGGTTAAAAAACTACCTTATTTTCCATGGCAGCTACCTAGTGTGGTAATGTGGATCGCTTCAAGGTAGCAAGTTATAGAATACTAGTGAGAAAAGATTAGTACCTTCAAAACAATATGGTTTTTGTTTTGTTTTGTTTTGTTTGAGGAGAGCTCTAGTAAAAAAAAAAAAAAAACTATGCATACAGTTGATTTTGGAAGAACTTTGTACTTAAAGGGAGAATGATGCAAGCAAAGACACCAAGTGGTAAGAGCAGATTACTTAGAATCTAAGTTCCTAGGTGTTTTTTGTACCTAATCTGATTGAAAAAGCCCTCATTTTTAAGCAACAAATCATGTTTAAGATATTAATCAAAGGCTAAAGATTTATAAGAAAATCATGGGTGGGAAGAGGACAGAGACCTCACAGGCAGGGGAGAAACCACAGTTTGCAAAAGCCCACACTTAATTCTGTAAATGCTACTGTGGACCTCTGATAATGAGGCCACTTCTATCCTACACCCTGAGTCGACTCAACAATGTCAGTGTTGGGTTTCAAAGTTAAAGCAGATGTTTTATTCTACTGGAATGATAAGGCCAAGCTTGACAGTGTGGAAAAAACTTGGAATAACTCAAAAAGTAACAGTGAGAACTTCCTAGAAGAATATAAAGCTGATTTAGAGAGGAAGGTGGAGAAGAATAAGTACTTAAATATTAAATAAAAGATTCAGTTTAATGGAAAGAAAAAATGGTAACATTGAGCTCTTAACTCCAACCCTGTAGCAGTTGTTGCTGGTCTCTGGATAACACCAAGAATACACAGACCACAGACTCAAGCCATAATGTACCTGTGAATATCTGTATTTATTTTGTGCCCTCAAGTTGCTAACATTGGTATCTGTAGCTCCCTCTTCTGAAGCAAGTATGAACAAATTTCAAATTCACTTCCCTGTTTTAAACTTTTCGTTAATACTGCCTCCAGTAGCATCCCTTATATCACCACTCTAAGAAACTGCTTTCTTTCTTCACTTCTTATACAACTTATCTCTTTGACACAGCGCATCATAGCAGAGTAGCTTATCTGTAAAGCACAGGATCATACAGACAGGTCTCCTCATTCACTCTGCTCCCAACCTTATCCTTCTTTTCGCACTGTGTTGTACACCAGCCCAACACATCTTATCTTCCACTGACTACTACCATGATTTTCTGTTCATCAGTGCTCCCTCTTTCACATCACCCTTAAACTAGCCTTCCGTGGCAGCTGCATTCTCAGCTTTGATTTCTCACTGTGTTTCCTAGCATGGTACCTTGAAACTAATAGGCAAACAACAAATATTTTTGAATAAATTAACAAACCACAAATACACTCACTTACCTACACCTACTTAGGAAAACTGGAGAGCTTTAGAGGCAAAGAAACCAAATGAGTAAGGAGCATTGTTACTGTAGCCCCGCATGACTAGTAAAGGGTATAAGGAAGTCATCTGCACGGATAGAAATGCTCTCTGTTTTGTTTTGGGTGTTGGTTATGAAAGCCTATACAATTGTCAAAATTCATTAAATCTTAACATCTCTGCAGTGAATTATATCTTAATTATACATCCATTAAAAGTGAAAAAGTGAAAGTCACAACACCCTGACCTCGACAACTCAGAAAGTTCATATTAAATTAGGCAGAGGTTTCCCAACTACTGGTGGTGAATTCCAGGTAGACTCAGTTATTGGAGGGCATCCACAAACCTGGAAGTAAACTAGGCATTCTCTGTAGATCAAATAAATATGTGACATGCTAAAATTTTTAAAGTTTAAGAAGATTCACACTGTTGCAATCGATTAAATGGAACTGTATATAAAATTGTTTATAGTTTATTTCTAATTTATTTTTAACAATCAACTGATAGTAATATAGAGTGGTTATATTTACATTTGTTTTACATTACAAAGGGTTATACTGCTGAGATGGTGAGAATGATTGATATCAGGTAAGTAAAACTGTTTTGTTAATTATACAGAATCACATACATCAAAAGTTGCCATGTTCATCAGTGACTTTGGAGACTTGATTACTTGCACCCAAATATTTCAGTTTCAGAAAGGAAAACATGTTCAGCTGCTTAGCAGTTTGAGGAACTATAATTGACAGGTTTCTGGCATTAAAAAAGACAAGATGGTATGTCTTTAGAAGTTCTGACATTATTCAACATACATTCTGCCTAGTATGTGTATGAGGGAAACCCTGGCAAATTGAGAACAAACGGGGAATAATTTGTTCTTCTCAGTTATATTCTACATGGAGCACAGAAGACCTGCCTTTTTCTCTCAGTTGTGCCACTAATCCACTCTGTGATAATGTGAACAAGTTAGTTAAATTCTGATCAAGTTCTTCATCTGTAAAAACACATGAGATTTAAACATTCTATGAGAGTCAAATGGCTATTTTCCTATGATATTTCTCATGTGCCCTGAGCTACCCATTTGGCTAATGCATGGGTATTACTATATATTATCAGCAAACGTTCTCCTGCCTCAACATTGTAATATAACATTGGAAAACAAGTTGTGTTCCTGTTTGACTTTTACTTCTTTATAGCTTCATTTTAATGAGAAACATGCAATCCCTCAGCCTCTGAAAGCAGAGCCAGCACAAACTGAATCCACCAAATAAACAGAGAGGTAATACTGATGCTCATTCTGGAGGCAGTTACAGAATGTGGATTTGGTTTGTCGAGTAAGATATTTTAAGTGCTATTATCACATTTCCCAGCTTGAATAATCTGAAAGAAACTTAATCCCAAAGGAAGGAAAAACAGCTGTATCAAACAATTTATTTAGACAATCATTAGGTCTCTGTGAACTGTTTATTCTAAATAAATTTGAACAAAAACATTGTTTTTATAATTGTACTTGTTTTAATAAAATGAGAAGCTCATTTTTTCTTTATTTATAACTTAAAAATAGCAGGATAAAGAAGGTTTCTTTTCTGTTTTCTAAAGATGATAAAGTCTAAGGGAAAATTATCCTCACAATTAAATATCCTATAAGTGTAGTTTTTAAAAATGCAGAAAATAAAAAAAGGAGATTTTGTAAACAGCATGAGTAATAATAATAATAATAGCATTTTGGGGATCATTTACCAAGTACAAGCACATAGCAAAAAGTTTATTTTGCTAAGAATATGTGCAATACATATGTGCAGAAAAGGTAACTGATTTATTTTAAACATAAATCACCATGTTGTTAATAGTTAAATTCAATACAGATGATAATACATTCTAAATTTTCTAAATTGAAAATAAAGACAAGGTGAGTTACCAGATATTTGTTTCATATACCCTAAAACTACCTCTGAAGAGCTTAAAGATCATAATATATTTTAATTGGATTTAGAGTATCAAGTACTAGAATTATCCTTCCTATTGGCTTTATAGAAAAAAATTTAACAATTTTATAATATTAGGAAGTATTTTCTTGTTGTGTAAAGCTTTACATGTTTATTTAAATGTTTAGGGAATATTTTTATAATGTCCAATATGAAGATTTTTAGAGAAAATATTTTTGACTAAGAAAATTTGATGATAATACTGATATTATCCATTTAAAGGTAATAGGCATGCTTCGTAGAAAAATGATTATCACAGCTCATCTGCCACAATCTTTAGAAAGCCAAATATCAAATACAAAATAAATCACCTTCAGATAAATTGAGAATCAACTAATTCTTATTATGCAGTGTTTGAATTTATCTGGCAGAAAGAAAGGTAATTGGCCAGAGTAATTTTTCTTAGCATCAGCCTTGGGTTGTGTCTGCAAAACACACTTGATGTGGAGTTATAAAAATTATAATGTCACTCACAATAATATGGACTATCTTCATAGTTAATTTCTGTTCCTTCTCCAGGGCTCCAGGATCTCTAGCTGTAGCTGGTTCCTCAGCATCTTAACATCTCTTTTTTAATTTTCTGTAACGTTGCCTACATGTCATCGACTTTTCTTTAGAATCTGATTTCAAAGTTTCTTCTGCTTCCTACCCAGATCCTGATTGACACAGTGGAGCATCTCACTGGAGGAATATAATTTTACAAACATAGGCCGGACTTTCAGGAGGGAGGCTAGGTCTGGACACTAGATTTCAGAAGCATGGCATATAGTGGGAGTTGAAGCCAAGAGAATAATTTCGATTACCCAGGTGGAGCATGTAGAGTATGTAAAAAGGCCAAAGAAAGAAGATATAGAGAAGAGACTAAAAAAAAAAAAATCAAGGCAAGAAGAGAATTACTAGAAATTGACACTTAAATGAAAAGCAGGGGGTTACAAATAGGAGAGAACTATCAAAAGTTATAAATAATAAAAAGCACACTGTATACATATTCAAAAGCAATCATCGAATCGGAAGAGTAACATGTTCCTTTTTATTGCCAGAAAGTTTCAAGAAAACTAAAAATCTGGAAAATGTTTTTTATACAATAAAGTAGGTAGAAAGCAAAGTTAAAAAGAATAATCTTTTGTAAGTCCTGGTGTTTGTGGGAAGAAGAGAGGTAGAGTACTGGGCTTGTAGTAACTAGTAGAAAAATAGTATTTGGTGGAAAATAAAGGATAAAAATTTTAGGGAACACAATTCGTTGTATAAATTTTCAATTTATTTTCCTTTTTTTGTGTGGTATGAGGGTCTTACTATGTTGCCCAGGCTGTTCTCAAACTCAGTTTTCTCAGCCTCAGTTTTCCAAGTAGCTGAGATTATAGGAGTGTGCCACAGAACTTGGCTATTTCTGTCTATTTCTGACATTAAAAACCAGAGAAATATATATATATTTTTTGCCCTCAGCCCAGCATATCTTAATCAAAAACCCCTTATTTGGGAAAAAATACCATTGGCTAACCCAGCTTCAAATGCTGCAATATTTGACTAAAGAGCTTCAGAAACCATAAGAATCTATTTTAAAATATATCAAAAAATTATACCCCTGGAATAAGTAACATTCCCTTAATTCAACATGATGATGTTGACATTTTTGATCTCATAACATGGGTCAACAGCCTCACAAATCTATGACAAGTGTTCATAGGCTTCTTCACACACACATGAATGCACAGAAATGCAAAATACTGCCGGGCTCTTCTAACCTGTCAGAAAAGCACCCTCTATTCTAATCAGGCTTTGTCTGGCCCAGGAGACCTATTTGAGGCTCTCATCTAGACTGGTGCAGACCTTCCAGAAGTCTTGTTCATGTTCTAAATAAGTCAACTGACAAATTTTTATCAACATCTGTGACTTCTTTGCACTAAAATATCTTGAGATGTTTATATAAAATGTATATGACCCGGCGCTTTCCCAGACCATTTGAATTAAAAATTATTTTGATGGGATCAAGACTCTTCACGTTAATGAGGTTCTTGGTATATTTGTTTGCACAAAAAAATTCTGAGAAATATTGCCCTCAGCTGGATACAAATGTAGACGGATGAAGTAGCTGGGAACCCTTGTTTGACTAGCAGTTGCTTCTCTTCTCTAGGAGACCCTGATGTATTTTGTTTCCTTTGAATAAAACTTCTATTAAACTATGTCAAATTAAATCTAAATTAAACAAACACCAATTATAAATTGTCATTAATCTAAAAAGTAAAAATACTCCACTATCCAGGAAACAGGAGACAAGTTATGAAGGAATTGCTTGTTTTAGAGTCTCAAATCTTTCTCTTCTGTGGCTAGATTCCTGACGTCACTTTTGGCAGTGTAACAAGTACAGCTAGAGGAGACGACACAACTGTGACAATTACCGGTGGAGCAAATGGAAGTACTCTAATGTGTTAGCATTATTCAGCAGGCATCTGGTTTTTTAAAATTCCTAGATATTAAGGTTACTGGGGGCTCTTCTACAGACCACAGATATGAATACCATGAAGGTGAAATGCTGAAACAGGATTATTTTAGTGATAACTGACAATAGCAAAATGTCTTTAAAACAATAACTCTTTTACTAACAGTACAATAAACAAATGTCACCACTAAAAGTTAAATGTTTGTACATTTAGAAACAGGTAGCTCTAACTGATGAATGCACTATTAGTTTTATTACTTATCTTTATGGTTGTCAGGGTCCATTTACTTGAATAATACATATAAGCAGAGTGTGCTGATTCTAATAAACTTATCTGGGGCTTCAACACCATGTGCAAACCATCTGAGCTACTCTTTACAGTTGATGTTAACCAGAAAACCTTAATAAAATAAAAGCATATTATTCTTACAGTTACTCATAGTTTATTCATTTTGAAACACATTCTGCCCTTAAATACTTGCATGCCCATCTTGTTGAAGATAATGGGATTTGTCTTGGGTAATAAAAGTCAGAATATGGCTAAATAGACATTATGGAATTTATATTAATTTATAAGCATGTATCTTCATTACCGTATAAAGTGAATATAATTTGGCTTTCTGTGATCAGTTTTTGCCTTGCCTCTCCAAAAATTTTTTACAAAATATGGTACATAAATTGATACAACGTATCTGAACAATAATTAACTCCATTATTGCTGTACCATCTGCCCTTTTCATGTGCCATCATTTCAACTAATCACTTATAATAGTGTTCAAGATGCCTAGAGTGTCTGAAGTTATCAGAGCAAAATTCGTGGTTTAATAAGCAATGCCAGTGGTAGAGAGCCCTGGGTGCTAATTGGGCAAGGCCTCTCCTCCTCCCACTGCCTTTCTACTCCCTTTGAAACAGTGTAAGGCAATATGTGAAGAGTGAATGTATGCACAATGGAGGAGAGTGCCTCAAGCATCCTTCCATAAATTCCCAATCCACAGGCCTCACTTCTTCTTTTATGCACCTCTCTCTACTACGTAAGTCTATCACTGTCTGGTTCACCTTCACAATAAAAGCAATTCTCCAGAGAAAAAATCCATCACCAGAAATGATACCAGCCCATATCATACACATAAGAAAAAGGATGGCTTTAGTACATTAGCCATACACAACATTTTAGCTGGTTAATGCTTTCTGGCTACTTTTTTTCTCAAGAAATGTTTCATCAACTATTTTCGAACTTTTACTGCATTTTTAGGCTTTTTTCTATCTGTTGTCGTCCTTCCACTTACCTAATTTATTTATTTATACTCTTCTTCTCTCTATTTATTCCTTCCAAAATTATTATTTAATATTACCGAGAGAACTTAAATTAAAAGTAAGGAGGGACTGATATTCTTCTGGTTAAATGTCAAATGTATAAATATATGACCTTTGTCTTTGTGTGTTAATGAAGGTAATTTTAAAAGTATTGTAGTCAAGTTCAACTGACAGACTATCTGTCAACACTCTGCAAGGGAAATTAAGGCCTACATATTCTACATTAATCACCTGTAACCTGGTACCGAAATATACAAGATTTTCAGGAGCTACCTTGTATTTGAAATGCTTTGTTGGAGTTTTGTTTTGGCATTTAGGGGAACTGAGGCTTGTTTAAGTCTTTTAGTCTTCTTTTGTCAAGAAACCAACGTCCCACCTTTGTGGATAATAAGAACCAAACATCTTTAACTTAAAAGCAGGCCAAGTTCTCACAAAAATGTGAAATAGAAAACAATTGCCTTTGGCTTCCTGTCCCCTTAGGGGCTTCACGTTTTCCTGGCATTATTCTGTGTCGTATAGAAAACCACTACCAGGAAAGGAGCTAAAATTGATGCACATGGAGTGATAAGTGACTGCATCTAATCAAATGACTTTTATTATTCTGCAACAACTTGTGAGCTTCATATTGATTATGATCTGAATCATCGCTAATAAGAAGACAGTTATTATTTTTATTTTGGAGTGAAATATATCTCACTACAAAAAATTCTAACTTGGCTAGTGAGCTAGATCGGCTCCGTTCCTTGCTAAGAAAGAAGGCTACATATGCATACTATGTATGTGCAATTCCATCTGCATTCAAAAGTAGGTGACAGTTCACTTGATTCTTGCAGTCATGCTCCTACTTGTAGCTACAAGATGAACAGAGATATCCGCAGTCTTACTGTGACATAGTGCTTCCTTCGCATTTAGGAGAAAGTTTATAGAGAATTCTGGCAAAATTATCATGCCAGAATAAATGTATTTTCTAAAAAAATGCATTGTTCTATTTTTTGCAAGACAATGTCTTTTTTTCAGGGCTAAATATTTTTATCTGAATGCAGGTAACGTTAATATAATCAGAATAGACCCATTTATAGATTAATAAATCCATCTCTTCTCAATAGCCTCTTTGCATCTTCTATGGAGCAAACTGTTCTAAAATATGTTTACAAATCAATATTTAGGGATCAGACTTGGAATGAAGGGAAAACGATATTTTAAAACTTTTTTTTGTTTTTTGAGACTGAGTTTAGCTCTTGTCACCCGGGCAGGAGTCTAATGGCACAGTCTTGACTAACTGCAACCTCTGCCTTTTGGGTTCAAGCAATTCTCCTGCCTCAGCCTCCTGAGTAGGTGGGATTACAGGCACCCACCATCATGCCCAGCTAATTTTTGTATTTTTAGTAGAGACGGGGTTTCACCATTTTGGCCAGGCTGGTCTCGAATTCCTGACCTCAGATGATCCACCCACCTCAGCCTCCCAGAGTGTGGGGATTACGGACGTGAACTACTGCAATTTTAATGGTAAAATGGCTACATATTTCAATATGTAAGTATAAATATCCTTGATCTGGGCATGATGGCTCACGCCTGTAATCCCTGCACTTTGGGAGGCCGAGGCAGGTGGATCATTTGAGCCCATGAGTTTGAGACCAGCCTGGGTAACATGGCAAAACCCTGTCTATACAAAAAATACAAAAAATTATCTGGGTGTGGTGGCATGTGCTTGTAGCCCCAGCTACTTGGGAGGCTAAGGTGGGAGGATCACTTGAGCCTGGGAAGTTGGGGCTGCAGTGAGCTGTGATTGCACAACTGTGCTTCAGCTTGATCAACAGAGTAAGACCCTGTATTATCCTCCCTCCACACAAAAAAAGAACAAACATCTTTGAACAAAATATCTAATTTCCTCTAGAATAATGCATACCTTATAAATATATATGCATATGTATATATTTCACCCATATTAGTCTATTTGATTATACCATTGGTTACATATATAAAAATGCTTATTTTAATAAGAAGAAATATTCTGAGGAACTAGAATTTAAGTTTACAGTTATACTCTCTTTATTCAGGATGATTATTTATTTTGTATGCTTCAGGATATCGTAGATAACTCAAAATGATGGTTCTTGACTACTAGTAATACACACTCAATATCAACACCTGTGAAGAAGTCAAGATAGTTTCTAAAATGAAGAGTTTATAAAGACCTTCCTTTTTAAGAACTGCTCATTTGTATTCTTGAATATTCTTTTAGAAGCATTAATTGTCAAGATGTTGAAAAAAACTGTTTTACATAATGTTGCTGCCTGTTCTTGAGGAAAAACTTAAAATCAGCATTATTTCCTTAAGTAGCTATTCATTTTTAAACTATTAACTATTTAATAAACATCATGAGTTTTTTTGATGCCATAGGACACCTACAGTCGTTCATAGTCTCTATTCTAACCAGAAATATCTTTAATTCAGAAAAGGTAAAATGTAACTTCCAAGATAATGCATGCATTAGGAAAATTTTGCAAGTGCTTAAGTGATTATTTAACATGATTCATTGTTGTGAGCGTATTATAGATTATACAATGAATTAAATTAATAAGTAAAAATAGTAACATCTCTTTTTCAAATTACAATTAGTGGCCTTAAATTTGAAAGAACATTTGTGGTTCACACCTATAATAAACCAGGCACTAATGAAATACTGCTACAAATTGCTGCTAAAGTCTACATCATCAGTATGAAAATTATCTCAGTGTGTCAATGGTAACTCTTTCATTACCTTTCTGACAATTTCAGTTTCAGTGGTTTCTCATGTGTAAGACAAGTTCCACTCTCAGAAGCAGGCAGAATTCTTGGTTACCCCATTCCTCCTTGTGAATCTGATTAAAGCTCCAGGAACAGCTGTAAATTTTACCTTTTACATGAAGTTTTTTTTAATCTCCAGTTCTTATCTACCTCGATATTTTTCCAGAGTCCACAGTGTTAACAATTATACATCTTCCTTTAGCCTTAATTTTATGTCAGTCAGTGTTAGATGTAAACATATAACTACTATACAAACTAAGTTGTAAACTAGCTTTATAATCTAGTTTATACTCTTTTGGAAGAGTGTAAATTTTCCATCTCAGATTTCAATTGTTTCCACAGTTCCTAGTGCCATGTTGCAATACTCTTAGTTTGACTAGCAAACATTAGAGTTGTAGTGATCAAGGCATTTTAAATATTAGCAGAACAAGTAATATTCATTGTACATCAAAATTTATATTCTTGTGACTTCATTGTACATCAAAATTTACATTCTTGTGACTTCTAGGTTCTAAAGAAATATAGAATAAATTTCTAGGCTTTCTATTTTATCAGCAAAAACATCTTCATTTCCTTAGATTCTCCCTTTTCTGATTTTTAGAGCATCATCATACTTGGATTTATGTTACTTCTTTCAATTGTCTCCTAAAATACATCTGGGAAAACTGAACATAGGTTCCAAATGTAGTTGTCAAGAACTGTGAAGAGTGATATTTCACCTAATTGCAAGCTGAAAGTTAGCCTGCCATAGTATCTTGGGTGCTAACAGAAGACACGAGCCTCCTATATAGGAGACAATGGACTTTATTCCTCACTGCAAAATGAGCAGTTGAGCTTTATATTTTTGTCAATCCCCCTTGTACTCAAAGTCAAACAATGGTGATGGCAAGTGGCCCAAGTAGATGTCGAGTAGGCAGAGAGATTTGTGTTACAGGTAAGAAACACCAAACCTAGGAAACACCAATTTTTAAATTGGGCTGCAAGTGAACTTTTCACTGGAGGGAGACATCCGTCTTATATTGGACAGAGAATAAATCTTCCCTCTGCTCCTGAAGAAGACACTATCTTTATCTACCAAGCCACTTTGCTATGCAAACGTCCTTGAAAAGATAGTCCAGAAAAAAAGCTGTCAGTTACTTTCTTTGCAAGACGTGCAGACATATGAACTCTCTCCCAAGGGTGGTCTCATTAACTTAGAGCAAAATGAAAGTATAGATATCTTTTTTGATGTGCAATAAGTGACAATAATTTGCAGACAGAAGATATGCTCCCACACACTGGTATAATATAATATAATCAATTCTGATTCTTACACATGACAGTGTCAATTGACATACCATTGCAGTAATATGTTGCCTAATTCTTGACTACCAAATAGAAATTCAATAATGCAATTGCATTTAGACCCAATAAAAAATTTCTCATTGGATCCATACAATTATACAATGTTTCACAGGTTCAGTTTTTCAAGAGACGGTGTCCTAGCTAGAGTAGCAGATACATACAGCTTGTCTTCCAGCACATACTACACCAGTCAATAGTCTCCCAAAAATCTACTTAATCCTGTAGCATTGTATAAAGGAGTGTTCATTCTTTGACCAGAAGATTCCATGGGACCATAGTAGGACATTTGGGTTATCATATGGGAAGAGTTTTATTTTTAAAATTTTTTACAATGATTATAGATCATTTTAATCATTTATATTTCTTTCATTGTCTTGATGCCTTCGGAACCATGGCAGCACACAGAATACTTTAACATTTAAAAACAATAACAATAAATTATATGCATAATAATGTTTCAGTTAAGCTCTTAAATTAGCAGATAGGTTAATAGAAAGTTGTAGGAATGAAAAACACATGTCCCTGGAGTGTTAAACAGTCTGCTCCAAAGCAGGGGTATTTCTACTTTGAAATAGTTAAAGTAATATTTTACATCTCAAAAACTTTCACAATATGCTTTGGACTTGATTGCTTTGTCAAATGTCTCCAATCTTGTGAAAATATTCCCTGATATTTAATTAACTGAAGCCTTCTTCTCTTCAGATACAACCTCAATTGTAATTAAAAATGCATGTGTCAACATTTCTAATTAGTGGTGGTAATTAATATTTATTGAGGGTGCACAGGGCAGGTGGTGATGTTCTAGACCCTTGAGTAGCATGAGCAGAATTTCAGAGAAAAATACATTATGGCTGCATGTATATGGCAAGGCGCACTCACAGGGTTTGTAAATTAAAGGATGAGGAGTTACTTTAGTGACTGTCATGTTGCCCCAAATATGCCATGATTTGACAATAGAGAAGCAAGCCAAGATGAAAACGATATGGCCAACATTTTCCCCTCTTAAATTTGTATTTCACTTCTTGCAATTTGATTATCTAAAGACTAGAACTAATTAAGATTTATAACAAACTCATTGAGGCAGCTGTTTGGAAAAGAAAATGATGATTTTGGAAAAGTAACGACTACAAATAGGATTGATTATTTGTTAACAAACACTATGAATACAGAAAATGCTGAAATTAGTTAGCTAAAATGGCAAACTGTGTAGGTTCAATAACGGTATGTTTATACTGAGTCTTAATATCCTGTGATCTTTATCTGACATTTCACCCTGGAGATGTTTATACTATGAAGTACTTTGAAGTTTCATGCATGAAAAAGTACTCTGATGCTCTTCAGTTTTATTAAAAGTTGAATGGAAAAAAAGAACAAAACAGAGCCAAGAGCAATAATTATTAATATAAACCACATAATATTCAAAACAAAATTAGATGATAATATAGCACAAAAGCTAACAAGATAGGTTGGAATAAAACAAGGTACAATATTGTATTTAGGTCCAAAGATTAAACAAATAATATTATATATCAAAACAAGTTTAATTTTAATCATTTAAGAATATATTTTTAAAGCATAAATGTATTTGAAATGATAAGGGAACAGTTTCATGTACTCTGTAATCAAAAGATATATAAATAGAAGGGATAGTATTTAAATGACACCAAAATCAGGATATTTTTAAAAAATCATAAACTTGAACACTTTAAAATTATGTAGACATACATTACATAGGTAAAATGCATGTATATACAAACACTATATATACTTGTAATTAAGAACTGTGAAAAGCAAGTGACAAAAAGCAAAACATATGAAAATATGAAACACCAAAGCTTATCCTTAATTCTATTGTTGTTTCTAAGGAAAAACAGTAACACTGAAATAAGAAAAGATAAACAAGGGGAATTCATGGGTAATTCACAAAAGAAAAATACAAAAATGAACAATAAGCATACAAAAATGTATTTACAGTCAATTAAAACTGAAGAAATAGAAAATCCAACTTAAAATGGCAATAAGGTTTTTTTGACCTACTACATTAGTACATGTTAAAATGTTTCAAATTTTGTTTTCATGTGTTGAGAACCTGTCATATTTATATACTGTTGATGGGATGCTGAAAATTAGTACCATCTTTTTGGTGGACATTTGAGTCTATGTATCAATTCCACTTCTAGGTATTTCTCTGAGGAGTTAATCAGCAACTGGCCAAAGTTGAAGTGACAAGGACTGGAGTAGTTAGTGCCCTGAATAGCAAAAACCTAAAAACAATCAAAATATTAGTCAATAGCAAATTTGTTAAATTATGAAGTGCTCATTCACTGGCATAATATGCAACTGTATTAAATATTTAGGTTAGAATGCATTGATATGGAATATCAATGATAAGTTAAGCGTGAAAAATGGATTACAGAAGAATATATAGAGCAAAACGTAAGCAGTGTTTTTTCAAAGCATGTTAGTGGAATATAACTTCCACAAAAAAGAGTTATGTAATCTGTATAATCAAATTGTTTGGAAAATGATGCATATTTTATCCTTTTTTTAGAGAGTCACAAGGCATATGAGTATATTACAGGCACTGAAAAATCTGGCCACAAAACAATTTTGTTTAGGTCAAATTACTTGCTAAAATTATTTTGTGTTTTTTTGCATAATTTTTTGGAATATTTCCGGTCTAGTACTCCATATTTCACTTTGGAAAATGTTGCTGTGCATGCATAGAAACAAAAATCTGTCAAGGGAGATACCAAATTAACAATGGTCACCCTAGAGGATGAGAAATTTAGAAACTTTAATGTTCTAGTTTATACATTTCTCACATTGCACCATATTTGTTTTTTTTTAACTTGGGTAATTAGAAAAATAAAAGTTTAAAAGGAATGAGTGAGTGAAAATGAACATAAGTGCAGGCTGCTGGTTTAAATAGCACCTTCCATATAGCCTTGTAGACTCCTCGCTTAAATATCTAATAAAGTTTTCAAAAAATTACTAACTTACAAAACACCTAAAACTACACCTTACAGAAATATTATAATCAGAATCTTTGGAGTATTTACCCTAACCATAAAGTCATGGGCCTGAATATAGAAAATATATTCATGTTTCATTTTATGAAATATAATAGCATTGTCAGCCTCAAAAATGGTACTCATTTTGTTTCTTTCCCATTGCATATTTTCAGTCCCAGAGTCCCAGCTTTGATACCAACCAAATGCTGCCACTTCCTATAGCATGCTTTTGGAATGGCCAGAGCAGTGATCATCTGCTGCACCTATCTCCTGTAATTTTTAAATCCATCTGGACATGGCAAATTTCTGGAAACAAAGGTCAGAAATGAAGTTAGCCAGTGGTGCTTGCATCCAGTCTAAGGTGTCGTTTCCACCAGTAAAGTGTGGTGGTCTGAAAGGAGAAGACCAAACTACTGAGAGCAGGCACTGTATGAATTAAAGATGATCATGGATGCCATAGTTCAGAGAATCCAAAAAACAAATAATGAGGATAGTAGAAGAGATACATTCAGTTTAGCAGAGGCACAGAGAAAACTGCCAACTGAGCTGGTTGCTACATTAATCTGCCATCCTCCATTTCTCCCACTAGTGGTTAACCTAAAAAGAGACACTGAGTAAGGTAAAAGGCATGCCATACCCCTTTCATTTACCAAATATGGGGCTCATGAATTAAAGAAATAAACAAACATGGGACCTTTGAAAGGGAAAAGAGACATCAACTTTGTCTTCCTCCACTTACCTTTTAGGATGGTGCAGGAACTATAAGAAAATTTTGACAGCTACTTCCTATCTTCCTTTCTTCACATGAAGTGAAGAAAGTCAGCCACAATGAGAAAAGAAAGATGAGGTAAACATGTCAAAAATGTCTGCCTCAACTACAGAAAAATAAATGGAAATGGAGGAAAATGAAGCTGGTTAAGATGAGGTAAAATTTGCAGAAATTCTAAGCTGTGGGAGTGAGAGAGACTCCACTGCATATGATAAAGGGCACCAATAACACTGCACACGTTCTTCCACTGAACACACAGATCTTGACTCTGATGTACAATATGCCCTATTCTGGATGTTGAGGACATAAGGATAAGCAAAGTGAAGTCTGTTTAAAATTATGATGTGGAAGATATAAGGAACTTCTAAAATACAGACAAAAACCACAGACGTAAAACTCAAAGGCAAATGACAGATACGTGGGCAAGAAAGGGTGAACCAAAAAAAAAAAGGATGATAGCTCTTTAAAAGGTGGGGGTGTGGGTGGATGTGAAACAATTCTCTCAGGAAACAAAGTCAGTTAACCAAGAAACAAGGTACATTTTCTTTGGATTACAAATATTAATACATACAAGGGTTTCATATTCCACCAGAAAAAAAAAAGATTCAAGGATGAAGAAATGCATTATCCTGCAAGCATGTCCTCAAACTTCACATCATACCAAGGACACCCTCTCTTATTACAATATCTCATAAACTTTGACCAGCTCAATAAGATGAAAAACATAAAAGAAGCATAGGAATTGAAAGAAGTCTATAAAACATTATTCTTTGTAAATTATTTTATTTTTTCCCGAGGCACGGGAGAATCAACTGGAAAATAAAAAATCATTAGGATCACTAATTAAAGTGGCTAGTCACAAAATAAATATACACTATCAAGAGTTCTCTTAATTTCCTTACGAGCCAGCAATAATTTGAAAATTTTTGGCAAACGATTAAATCCACAATAATGATAACAATACAAGCACAGGAAAATTCAGTCATTTTGTTTTGTTACTATTTATCATACATATAATAATGGTGAAAAGCTAGTATTAATATGTCAGAACTATTATTTAGCCACAAACAACCGTTTTCGAAAAACTTATGATAGGCCGGGCACGGTGGCTCACGCCTGTAATCCCAGCACTTAGGGAGACTAGGGCAGGTGGATCACGAGGTCAAGAGATCGAGATCATCCTGGCCAACACTGTGAAACCCTGTCTCTATGAAAAATACCAAAGATTAGCTGGGCGTGGTGGCAGGTACCTATAATCCCAGCTACATGGCAGCCTGAGGCAGGAAGGAGGCGGAGGGTGCAGTGAGCCCAGATTGTGCCATTGCACTCCAGCCTGGGCAAAAAGAGTGAAACTGTCTCAAAAATAAAAAAAAAGAAAAGAAAAGAAAAGAAAAACTTATGATAATATAGCCCAATAGTCCAATATTACTTAAGAATAAAACAGAAATATATCACGTCATATATTTTGTCATATAAATTTCTAAAACATATGTTCATAGAAAAAATGAAAAGCTTTCTATCTTAAATGGTGAGATTAAAGGCCATTTTTATATTTCTTAACAATAATCATGTTCTACTTCAGAAAAATGTGTTATTTCAACGAAAAGGCTTATGTACTTCTAGAGATGGAAAAGATGGAACTTGGAGTTAAGTAGCTATAAAAAACATTTTTGTTTTAATTAAGTACTAACCAACAATCATTCAATAGCAAATAGTCTACTGTGGCCCTTTTAATACCAACAATTCTTTCATAGAAAAATAATTGTGCTGATCATAAAAAGTAGTAACTCCAATAACTTGGCTCTGGTGGCAGTATTATGGAGTGTGATCATCTGAATATCACGAATTTAGAGTCATTTTGACAAACGAACTGTGGGTTCACTAATAATCTTCATGGATAATAAAGCATATGACGACTATGTTCTTGAAGGAGTAGCTGGTGAAATACAGTATTTACCAAAAAAAAAATCCCAGGAAATCCTCAAGAAATATTAAAAGAACTAGCTGGAAATGTTTAAAGAATATCAAAGTTCAGAGAGGGGAAAAAGTCATTTGGCTTTGTCTATGTATTAGTTAGGCCTCTCCAGAGAAACAGGATCTGGGAACTAGCATGTCTAGAATTAGTTCCTTCCAGTGGGTTCTTGGTCTCACTGACTTCAAGAATGAAGCCAGGGACCTTGGCAGTGAGTGTTACAGCTCTTAAAAGGTGGTGCGTCCAGAGTCATTTGTTGCTCCTGGTGGGTTCGTGGTCTTGCTGACTTCAGGAGTGAAGCCTCAGACCTTCGCAGTGAGTGTTACAGTTCTTAAAGATGGTTTGTCCAGAGTTTTTTCCTTCAGATGTTCAGATGTGTCTGGAGTTTCTTCCTTCCGGTGGGTTCGTGGTCTCACTTGACTTCAGGAGTGAAGCCGCAGACCTTGGCAGTGAGTGTTACAGCTCTTAAAGGTGGCACGTCCAGAATCGTTTGTTCCTCCTGGTGGGTTTGCGGTCTTGCTAACTTCAGGAGTGAAGCCTCAGACCTTCGCAGTGAGTGTTACAGCTCAGAAAGGTAGTGCGGACCCAAAGAGCGAGGAACAGCAAGATTTACTGTGAATAGCAAAAGAACTAAGCTTCCACACCATGGAAGGGAACCCGAGTAGGTTGCCAGCGCAGGCTTGGGTTGCCAGCTTTTATTCCCTTATTTGGCCCCGCCCATGTCCTGCTGATTGGTCCATTTTACAGAGCAATGATTGGTCCATTTCACAGAGTGCTGATTGGTCCCTTTTTACAGAGTGCTGACTGACGCATTTACAAACCTTTAGCTAGACACAGAGCACTGATTAGTGCGTTTTTACAGAGTGCTGATTGGTGCGTTTACAAACCTTTAGCTAGACACAGAGCATTCATTGGTGCATTTTCACAGAGTGCTGATTGGTGCATTTACAAACCTTTAGCTGGACACAGAGTGCTGACTGATCTGTTTAGAATCCTTTAGCTAGACAGAAAAGTTCTCCAAGTCCCAACCCGACCCAGAAGCCCAGCAGCTTCACCTCTCACTAAGAGTGCCAGAAGCAGAAGGTGGTCATCCCCACTCACGCAGTCAGGCAAGAGTGTGATTCCTCCCTTCCTCCCACTTTCTCTTCTATTTAGGCCCTCAGTGTATTGGATGATGCCCAGCCACACTGGTGAGGACCAACTACATTGTTTAGTTCCTCATCTCAAATGCTAATCTCCTCCAGAAACACCCTCACAGACCCAGAAATAATGTTTAACCAGGTATTTGGGCATCTAGTCAGTTGAAACCTAAAATTCACTATTACAGCCTATATTTATTTTTGTATTATACCTAAGTTTGCTCATATTTTCCTGTAGGAGTTAGCTACAACAATGATGAAGACTACCATGCTTTAAAACAAGTTTTGAAACCATATAGTTAGAAAGACAAAGACATCAACCATCGCCATTTCTAGCACAGTTCTCCTCCTGACATAGAGAAAATTGTCCGAAGTAGAAAGTCTATCTTCCTGACCTATAACATGATTATGTGTCGGTATGTAGTTATTAATTTATTATGTCCTAAATAACTTCAGACTTAGGCATAAATCCCTTCAAGTCTAATTTGGCTGTTTGGTATCCTTAAACAAATATAAATCTCCTATGTGAATGTCATACCAAGAAGCAATTTTAATTCTAAATTATTTGTGTTAGGATATGATGGTTTTAAAAGGTTTTAGCTTAATAAAACATATACTCCTATACATATATATTCAACTCCTTACTCTTGTTTTCACTTCTTTCTTATGTATCTTGATACTGGTTCTTCTTCTCGTATAGCATTAGAGATAGATCAAAATCTTTGCTTTTAAGAACTATTGCAATAAAATCTAATACACCCTAGTTTTTCCCGTCTTTAGTCTTGAAGGAATTAAATTTGCTAGAGTTTTGTGAGACTTTTATTCTTGAAATATATAACTTGTTCAGTGGACCACTAAGTAAAAAATTATCTTCTGAATATATGAAGAATATATAAATTGAGAACACATCAATTCTGTCCCAATAGAAAATACAGTCTTTGACAAAGGGACAACAAATAAACAATCAATTTAAAATCCATGTGTGAATTGCATTAATCATGAAATATTACATTTGATTTATTTTAATTCTAACTTTTAAGGGCATTATATAAGATATATAATAGCTCAGTATTATTTTCCCAAATACAAATTTAGCAATATTTGGAATTAACTTTATAAGATGTTCCTTATTAACTAACTAGAGAATAATTGATTTTCGTTATATTTTTCCTTGGGGATTTACAGAAATTGTCTTTAGAGAATTTAATCCATGAAAACTATGATGATAATATGTTAGAACATATTCATTAAATTCTGGTTTGCCTTTAAATATTTCAACTATTTTCCCTTCAAAATTTCTCATAAACTATTCCATAGTAGACTAAATTCAAATAGGAATGTGATACAAATTTCAATAATGTCTTGTTCATGGCACCAGGAGCATAAATGAAAATTTAAATTGAAAGAGATCTAACTGGGGGCGGGGGCAGTAAAATGTAGAGAACATTTACCATGCACAGATCTATCAGACTTCATGATGGCCAAATCAGAACAGACACCAATTCTAACCTACCTGTGCCCTCCAACCAGAGTAACTGGTATAGCAGCAGCCCTACTTTTAGACAATATTTTCATATTGGCAAACTCTCCCTACAGCAACATATAGTAAAGAAACATAGTACATATGTTTATATAGTATATAGCAACATATACTACAGCAACATACAGTACAGACAAACAAGTTAATTTGAAGCTCATGAGTATTAAACGAGAGGATTAAATAGAGGGTGGGTACAGAAAGGGAAACTAAGGGGTTGCTTACTAAGGATGAATATCCAAATGGCGCCAGTTTAGTCAAGAGTTCAACATCAAAATATCTTATAATGTTGATATTGTTGAATTTATAGCATTCTGTTTCTTTCATGGTTTTCTGTCTTTTATTTGTTTGGTAGGCATTGTCAATAAAATATTATGATTAAGTCGTTTTCATTTTTCTCTCCATTGTTTCTACAAAGATGTTGTAAGTTTTGTTGCAACAGAAGAAAAAAAAATTAACATAGTCATTGCAAATTCTAAAGTAAATGGTTCCAAAAACATTATATGCGATTCAATTTCTTAGCTGATACTATATTACATCTGCAGAGAGAAATAAGAACCTAAATGAGAAATAGCAAATTACTTCTTCAAGTTTTAAAATCATTAAATAACGAGAGCAAAGATGTAAATGATCTGAGCCAACAATCAACAAGTATTAATAATTGGTGAAGGTGCTTTAGCAGCAAAGGAGTGAAACAAATGCACTGTTTTTGTGTGTGTGAGGTGGTATGTTCATTGATTAAAACAAATACATAAATCCAAACATTTAAGTTGATATCTCCCACAATCACGGTTCCTATATTGTCTTCAAACCATGTCACTTTTACCACATTAATTAGAAATCGCTACATTCTAGATAAAACCAGCCTTGCTTTTTTTTTTTTTTCTTCTACAACCTTGCTACTCAAAATACTGCATGTACAGGAGTTAATTAGAAGTGTAGAAGTGCAGAATTTCAGGTCCCAAACAGATCTGCTGAATAGGACCTTAATTTTAACAAATCTACAAGTGATTCAAATATACATTAGATTGAGAAAAACTCCATTTAGAAAAACTGTTCAACAATACTATTAAATTTTTATAGAGAAAGCTAAGAGCACAAAGAGTGTTGATATGGATGGACAAGAGACAGGGAAATACTGTATAGAAGAGGGTGGTTACTCATCAAAGACCCCACTCTCAAGCCTGAAGACCTGTGGCCCTAAATAAGGACAGGCATTCCTGTTTTTGTACCCAAAGAGTTGCCTTTTGGCCCACTATGCCCCCTATCCTGCACCCATATAAACCATGAATCCTAGACTCCAGAAGCAGACCAGCAAGTCAGCAGATCAGCAGATGGACAGACATGGACGGACTGCAGAATGAAGCCGCAGAAAAAGAGAGAAGGAACAGTCGAATGCCTAGAGGAGTTTGGCTGGGGGTGGTTGGAGAGGAATCCACAACTGGGCAGCCTGACTCCAGGGGAAGATCACCTCCCCACTCCATCCCTACATTCTGGCTCCCCATCCACCCCGCTGAAAGTCACCTCCATCACTCAAACCTTGCATTCAACCTTCAAGCCTGTGAGTGACCCAATTTTTCTTGGAAGTGGGGCAAGAACTCAGGATACAGAAAGCTGTTACACTGGCCCTCTGCCCTTGCAGAAAGGCAGAGGGTCCATTGATCTGAGTCACACTCAAGCATTCTGTGGACAGCAAAGCTGAAAGAGTTTTGTAACACTAGGTTTACAGGCACCCACACCTTAAACACTGCTGTAGGATTGGAGCCCAAAGCACTCACCCCGGCCTCTGCATCTGCCTGTCTGCATGCTCCCTTGACTGCAAGGGTTTGAGCAGTGGGGGGACCTAACAGGCCAGCCACACCCCTCTTGCACATCCTGTGAGGGGGATCAGGGAACTCTCCTGTTTCACTGTCACCATTTTTATGTTACATTCAAAATTAATTTTTCAAAATAAATTAATATTCCTCAGGCAGCAGGGAGAAACTTGATTCGAAAATATCCACTCTTAACATTTTAGTTCCCACAAATGGAGCTCCCTGTCCTTGGTCCATTTTACACCTGGCTCTGCTCTATACTATGAGGATTCTTTATGCAAATGGGCTTGACAGTATGAATGTTCAAGCTCTATACACTCACTTCTATAAATAGCCACCCAATGGCCACCCTCAACCCTATGATGCAACACTTCAATGCAGTAGTAAGATACACATGTCAGTAGTAAGATACCAGTTACTACTTTTAGACTTAGAGCATGGTTCCAGACAGGTGTGGGATATAAAAGAACATAGCTTAAGTTCAAGACTGGAGCAAGGCACAGTTAAAGGAGGACCAGAGCAGAAGATATGGATAAATGGGGCCCATGGCCAGGCGTGGTGGTTCACCCCTGTAATCCCAGCAGTTTTGGAGGCCAAGGCAGACAGATCACGAGGTCAGGAGATCGACACCATCCTGGCTAACATGGCGAAACCCCATCTCTACTAAAAATACAAAAAATTAGCTGGGCATAGTGGTACGTGCCTGTAATCCTAGCTACTGGGAGGCTGAGGCAGGAGATTCGCTTGAACCTGGGAGGCAGAGGTTGCAGTGAGCCGACATTGCCTCACTGCACTCACTCCAGCCTGGGCAACATAGGGAGACTCTGTCTCAAAAAAAATAAAATAAAATAAAATAAAATAAATAAAGTGGGGCCCATGTCTGGTGCCCAAGCTTCCTGGGTCTATGGTCATTACTCTTTGTGAAGATCATGTAAGATTTTGGACCAATAACTTAGGATGTATTTAAAAATCCTTTATGTAGAAGTGACTTTTTAAAACATTAACACTTTTCAAAATGCACCCAAATTAGTATTATAATTTTATAAAGTTCTGTGCAAATAATGCTCTAAGAGCAGAAAAGAAAATTCCCTTTAGAGCAGTGAGAGTCTGCAAGATACATCTCCTTTAAGTTGGAGATGAATTAAAAATCTTCCACGTTTGTTAAAGTAACTTAGAAAACCTCCTAAATCCAAGTTTCTGTCTGAGTTTCCTTTTCCACAAACACTCTGGTTTATAATGTATTTCACATTTTTATCATGTGATAACCCTCATACCTTACTGTGATATGCATAAATACATTTTTAATCTAAAATACATAGTTAAGCACTGAAATGTAAGAATCAGGGAAAAGATCAGTGAGGAAAATAAATTGTGTTTCCTATAAGAACAAAAACAGAACGCTAAAAATCTCTTTTCTCTTAAATAGGTTATTTTAATTCTGAGCTGTACATTCATCATTTCTTTCCTAGACCTTTAGGATAAAAAGCACACACATCTAAATCTGAATATTAACATTCAGTAAATATTTAAATTAGTACTGAAGAGAAGTATTCTGCAAGCCCAATAGAGTGTGCTCACTCATTCATAACTTCTTTCAGCTCTTTGCTTTGTGTCTAAACACTGTTTTCTATAATGCTTAATATATTTACAATAAATATAAAACTTGGTTAAATAATTTCCTTTTACTACAGGGCTGAAATTAATTTCAGTTTGTCACAAAGAAAGTTAAAGTGTTGTAGACTTTTTTTTTGAAAAGGCATGTAAAGCATAATGCTAATCATAAGTTTAACTGAATCAAAACACAAAACAGGCACTTTCATAATGTATTCAATCTCTAATTGAAATTCAACATCATTTAGAAATTAAAATTTTTAGATGTCATAATTGCTTCAAAAACCTTTTGTGCATTATATGTTAAATATTTGACTGCATTAAAAAGTATTTAACTGATTGTTGTTAAATCACTTAGACACACTCTCAGCAAAGAGCTTATGCCAAATAAGTCAATTGTTGCAATCTATTATACCAGCAAGTAAAAGCCATCAACATTTTTGCAGGCATCATCATCCACACACTTCAAAAAGTTAATAACTCAAATATTTTGTTTTATAATTTAAATCTCCTTTACCTCTTCCTCTCAAGATTTGGATTTTTGTTACAAGTCTCTCGATGGAAACCCTTAATCTAAAAAAAATTTATCATTTCACTTTAACTGTGCCTTCTCTGCCTGTCTGATTTATGCTCTAAACATATGCACCGTGATGCCTTTGGAACTAGGTTATGGCCTTGAGTTCTCAAGGTCAAGTGCATGGTTGACAATTTTTCCTTACAAGTGTGCCGGCCATATTGATATGGGATTATAGGAGGTCCTTTTCACAGTATTATATTACACATTCATTCTATGCATGTTATTTTTTAATAAACATTATTTTATAATAGTTTCAGATTTACAAATTACGAAGATATTACAAATTTCCATATGCCTTACATCTAATTGCCCCTATTTTTATAATCTTACATTAGTATAGTCCATTTGTTATAATTGATGACCAATATCAACATATTACTAAAGTAAATAACTTTGTGATTTTTCTTTCTTTTTTTTTTTCTTTTCCTCCAGGATTTCATTCAGAATACCACATAATGCTGCCTGTCTCCTTCAGCTACTCTTGGCTGTGACAGTTTCTCAGAGTTTATTTTGATGTCACTGATTGTTTTGAGAAGTAATGGTCAAGTATTTTGTATAATGTCTCAATCAAAATGTATATTGTAGTTTTCTCATGATTAGACTGTAATTATGTGTTTTGGAGGACGAAAACCACAGAGGCCAATTGCTATTTTCATGACAACATACAAAGGGTACAAACCATCAACATTACTTAGCAATCACTGTTTATATTTACTTTGATCATCTGGATGAAATAGTGTTTGTCAGGTTTCTCCACTGAAAAGTTACTCTTTTTTTTTTTTTATTGAACTCTTTAGAAGAAAGTCACTTTGCACAACCCATACCTAAGAAGTAGAGAATTATTTTCCACCTCCTTGAAGGTAGAGTATCTTTATAATTATTTGGAATCCTGAAACAATTTTTCTCTCATTCCTATTCATGTGTATATTCAACCATTTTTACATCAGTTTGGATTCATGCATATTTGTTTCGAACTTTTACTTAGAATCTGCAACTACATTATTTTATTGGTCAAATTATTCTAGCTGTGGCTTCTGGGAACTCTTTTAGTTGGATCTTGTGTCACTTTCATATAGCCCCATCAATGTGTTACTGGGTTTTTTTCTTATTGTTTTGTCTTGATTTTATCACTTTCTTACTTTACAGCACTATAAAATTCTTCAGACCTAGCTTGTATGTTTTCTGCCCCATCTTAGGATCAGCCATTTTTTTTTTCAAGAAACCCTGCTTTATTTTATTGGAAAACAATATTAGAAACCAAAATCTAGGAGCTAGATGTGCCCATTACTACTAGGATATCATTATCTCTAGACCCTCTCAGCTGACAGAGCAAGGAAATATATGTGTGTATACTAACCACTGTATACACACATATCTATTAATATTTCCTTATGTAGCCATTCATGTCTATGTTAAACCGATTAGTGTTAAACTTCAACACTAATTCATTACAACATGAATAACTTTAGCCTTCTTTCTTTGCTTATCTATAAATTCTCACTCCAGGAGCAGAAGAAACCTGGCTCCCACCATCTTCCATCCATTTACTTACTTGTTCAATTCCAGTATATATGTATAAGAGTTTCAGAATTTTCAACCTCTATCCCTGAGAGAAACACCTTTACTGTTTCTTACAAATAGAATATAGTGCTTATATGCAGCTCTTGTCTTTTGGTCTTCTACCTCAATTACATGATCAGTCCAAGAACAGTCATTGATTTTCAGTCCGTTCAGGTTTTTTGTTTTGTTTTGTTTTGTTTTTTGTTTGATGAACAAAATGACAATTTCCAAGCTCTTTCCATACGGAACTGAAAAGCTATGTTTTTTTTATAATTACATTTATTTAACTTCATACAAAAAGAAACATTACAAAGAATGAGAGATTTAAAGTTACATTCACTTGGAGTATGTGATTTTAACTAGCATTTTCCCCAAGGTAAAGAAAATGAAGCTAAAGTGTGATATTTTAGGTATACACAAGTTCCTAGAAGAAAAAGTTCTGAGTAGCCTAAAGTAGGCCTGGACACTATTTCTTTTGGTCTTGACAGTAGACCACAATGTTTTGAGCATGTTGATTCATTTTGCAAATGAATTAATTATTCATTATGTGATGTGTTAAATGTTTAGTTAGCATTTAAATATATTGATGTGAGATACAGAAACCATCAACATGACTTAGCAATCATGTGAAACAGTTTCTTCTTTAATCATTATATATTGAAGGAGGGTACTTAAAAAGATGCTCCACTGTTTGCTTATCAGTGGGCACAGTTCTCATAGAAACATGATGGTTTGGGGGAAAATAATAAATAATATTTCTTATGACATGATGACCCAGGGTTAATGGTAGAAAACTCAGGCTTCTGGGCCCTCAAAGAGAGGACAGGCAAAGTTTATTTTAGGAAACTAATGCTTAATAATTCAAACTAATTAGCCATAGAAAATACGAAGGATGAAATATGCTTTGGATAAAACCACATTGTAAAATATAGAAATTATATATGAAGTTAGAACTTTTAGAATATTTGTCAACAGTATGTGCTCTCTATATACATGCATATGTGTGTTTAATTGAAATCCTGTGCCTCAAACTTAAAGACAATTTAGCATAATTTTAAATATGGGCCATGTTCATGCTATAACAATATTTCTGGTTCATAAACAGAAGCACACACTTTCCAACACCACAGTGTTGATGAATATGTGGTTACTGAATTCTAACCAGCTAAAGGAAAAATGCACGAGATCTCAAGTATTTAACTCAATTCTTCAGGACCAGGTTTAAAGTTTCACAAATATTCGTAAGCCTAAACTCTATTGTTTGTATTTCAAGAATCTTAACCAAAAGGAAACAATTTTAACTTTAGAAATATTTTGGTCAAATTAATTCCACCATAATTAAGTACACAAACCACTGATTGTGAAACACTTTAAAAATTCTTGGAGGGAATGTGATAATCTAAGTTCCTCATGCCGATGTGGTTTTAATATTTTATTGTCCTTCACTTTTACTCAATCTATAAACACCAGCCTTTCACGTTACCATGATGAGAACACAAGGCCGTTTATTATTATTGCAAGAGTATTTGAGGTAAAGTGTAATAGAATTGAATGTTTTAAAAATATTTGATGAAATCAAATGTATTTTTAAAGATTATGAAAGGTCTAGCTAAGTTCAAAGGTCATACTTTGGTGATAAAATACACCGCTTCAAAGTGAAAATAATAGGCTTTCATTTATGGCGGTATTAGTCGTTTCATTCTTTTCAAATGCATTTCTATGTAACTTAGAAAAGTAGGAAACAGAGAGAGTCAGAGATATAGGTGAAACTTTCCTCAAAATATAACATAAGAAATTTGGTCTTTAGTGCAGTTTATGAAAAAGTTGAGATTTTTGTCTTTTTTTTTTTTTTTTTTTTTTTTTTACTTCAGGGAATTTAGCTTTAACTTAAAAGCCCTTTCACTGGTGAAAATTGATTTTTTTTCTTAATCTAGAGGAAACGAAATATGTGTAGCCCAGCAGAGGAGGGAGAGGAGGTCAAGGGGTAAACAGTTTGATGCGGCACATCTTGAGCTCAATCCTGGGCATGTGATCTCTCACACTTATGTCCTCCCAACAGGGAGAATCCAGCAGTGGTTTAGGCTTAAAATGCTGAGAAAAACTTCAAACAAATGTCTAAGAGAGTCCCTAGAACATTTAAACTTTTCTGTCACAGTCTTTGCTGTTCAATTATTTTTTTTTTAACAGGATAGATGTACACTGGCAACTCAGCTGAAATTTTCTTTATGGTAGCTCTTTCATTATGGAGTGAGTGGTCTTTAATTAAGCTCTGAATCTGATCAAGTCACACTTTTTTTTTAAGACACAAACTTCAAGTGGAGAAAATCTCCTTGCATTTATTTTATTCTTGTTCAAGGATTAAAGTGGGCATGATTTTCTGTAATCCCACACAGCCCTTCATAGCTAAAAGTTAATATTTCCAACTGGTTGCTTTGAGATTCCATACATATGGCTTAGGAATGAAGTCATCCACAATTTCCATATTGAGAAATAAATTATGGACACCATCTCTAGAATTCAGTTTCTTTAAATAAGCTGAAGATTTGTTCTCTTTTTCTCCACTATGTTTCTATGCTAGAACTGTGTTATAAGTGTGAGGGCACCTCAGATTAGGCATAATTCTAAAATAATTCTAAAATTGAAGTGCCATTCATTTGATTAGAAATGTTACTTGATTTTGTTAAACTACTCATGTTTTTACTTTCAAAAATGTATGTTTTGTCACTTATTTTGTTTTCTATTTTAAAGTTAACATTTTTTAGAAAAAAAGAAAGAGTTTTGCTCTCTTTCCCCAAACTACAAACTAACAAATCAAGAAATAAACAATTTTTGAAGTATCATTCATTCTTTGGATTTTGTAAAATACTAGCTTGTCAGAAAAAATTTCCAATTTTTAGCCAGATGTTTTGCACTCTTCTGCACATAGCCACAGGATAGTTAGAAGCGTGATCTACTAGCATTTACTACCAAATAGATTGTTGAAACTTCAAGCGGGAAACTTCCATAAACACTTTAATCAACAAGCCCCTTGAAGTAAAATGAATTAAGGCATTTAATTAAAAGAGACTCACTGGGCAATATGCATCCTGAATTTCTCTATGTAAATTATTATGTCAACATAGTTTCCTCTACAGTTTTTCAATCTTGCTTTTTTTCTTAAGTCTATGAATTAACATATTTACGGTTAAAACTATGCCTGAACTTCCTTATTTTCTCCTTCAAACCATTATTTTTCCCAGCATGTCCTTTGTTTGCTTTTCTCATCTCCTTTAGCACTTTGAATAATGACCTCTTCTTCCTCATTACAAACAATATTTGTCAATCACATCACTTATTCGTCCACAATTTTATAGGATTTTTCATTGTATAAAAATCACACAATCCAAAGGTGTTAAATAGAAAGGCACATATTTTTCAGTTTAAATCAATTATACGTCTGCATAGCCTAGGCATCAGTAGGCTAGCAGTCTCATTGAGGTTTCTCTATCACTAATCCAAGGAGTTATAACATAATTCTCTTTACTCCATCTACTATTTTAGAATTTTGGGGTCTAGGAGTGCAGATGGAAAATGAATGAAAAAAGGATTTCATAAAGTATAAATATTCATTATTGTTCCCAATATGCTGCTTATTTTTCAGATCCTGCTGGGTCCTGCCAGAAAAACAGAGGGTGTTCACTAAGGGAGCACACTTAATGGAAAATTCGTTGCATTTTTCCTAATGCTCAAATTGGCAGTCTGTGTGTCATATGTTGAACACACAGAAATTCATATACGTGCTTGGGGCAGTTCAACACAATCCAGGAAATGTTCATAAACTTGATTTTCATATGTATTTAATATCAGATATGAGAGAACAAAGGGAATACATCTTTTTATAAATAATTAGATCCAGTATGATTAATGATGTCTGCATGTTGCATGTTTATATGTACAAACAAATACATATGTATGTAGTCACTATATGAATATATTCCATTTGTTTAATAAGACTTATTTACTTAGAATCTAAAAATAAGGTGAAACAGATCTTAATAACCAAATACATGTTTAAGGAGTTCTGTTCAATATTTAGAATAGATTTTAAATAGAGTAAGTATGTTTATCAACCTATGGTTTTCATAACACAGCTTTGACTATTGTTCTGTATTCATAATAATTACTGGAAACATTTTACCTCCTCTTTATAATTGGCATCAATTATGCTAAACTATAAATCCAAACTTTCTTAGAAAACCGAAAGATGCATTATTTACAAAGAAAGAAGCATTTCTTTCTAGGAAAATTAGTGCTGTTACTACAGAATCGAAGAAGAAAAATGATGTTAATAAAATCTTCAGTTTAGCTTCATTAAATATTTTTATTAGTTTCATGTTACTTCAGCTCTTTCAAAAATATACATCTCACATCCTACATTATTCTACTTACCAAAAGATACTTACCATGAGAAAGGTAAACTGCTCTTTTATTCTGAATACCTCATTTTTTCATAGTGTTGATTAGACAATAATCAAGTGCACATGAAATTCTGAATTCAAAGGATTTTTTCCAATCTCACCTTAAGTAAAGATGTGTAAAATGTGAAAAGAAATTTCAGGAGGATAACAGAATAAATATTTTAAATAAAGAATAAAATGCCAAGAATATGTGACATTTAAAAGAAGGTACAGAAAGATAAATATCAAAATATAGGAATAACTCAGACATATTGCAAGTTCAGTTCCAGACCACCGATAATCTGATCATCAAAATAAAGTGAATCACATTAATTTTTTTCTGCAGTGCGTGAAGAAGTTGTGTTTACACTATACTGTAGTCTATTATGTGTGCAATAGCATAATAGCATTATGTCTAAAATATATATATTCCTTAATAAAAAGATCTTATTGCTAAAAAATTCTAACAATCATCTGATCTTCTAGGGGGTAGTAATTATTTTTACTGGTGAAGGGTCTTGCCTCAATTTTGATGGCTGCTAATTGATCAGCGTTGTGGTTGCTGAAGGTTGGGGTGGCTCTGACACCCAAGCTTATTTTACAAAATAAGACAACAAGAAAGCTTGGTGTATCAATTGACTCAGCTTTTCACAAAATATTTCTCTGCATCATGTAATGATATTTGATGGCATTTTACCTGCAGTAGAACTTATTCCAAAATTAAATTAAGTTCTCTTAAACCTTGCTACTGCTTTATCAACTAAGTTTATGTAATATTTGAAATACTTTGTTGTCATCTCAACAAGCATTTTCAGTAGACTCCATCTCAAAAAAAGCAATTTCTTTGCACATCCATAAGAAGCAGACTCATCCATCCATTCAAATGTAATCATGATACTGCAACAATTCAGTCATATCTTCAAATGCCACCTTTAATTCAAGTTATTTTACTCTTTTCATCATATCTGCCATGACTTCCTCCACTGAAGTCTTCAACCCCTCAAAGCCATCCATGAGTACTGGAATCAACTTATTCTAAACTCTTGCTAATGTTTATATTGTGACCTCCTCTGATGCGTCACAAATGTTGTCAAGGGCATCTAAAATAGTGAATTATTTCCAAAAGGTCTGGTTTGCCCAGATCCATCAGATAAATTCACTTTATACAGCATTTATAGACTTACAGAGTGTATTTTTTTCTTTTTTTATATACTTTAAGTTCTAGGGTACATGTGCACAATGGGCAGGTTTGTTACACAGGTATACATGTGCCATGTTGGTTTGCTGCACCCATTAACTCATCATTTACATTGGGTGTTTCTCCTAATGCTATCCCTTCCCCAGCCTCCCACCCCATGACAGGCCCCAGTGTGTGATATTCCCCTCCCTGTGTCCAAGTGTTCTCATTGTTCAACTCCCATCTATGAGTGAGAACATGCGGTGCCTGGTTTTCTGTCCTTGTGATAGTTTGCTCAGAATGATGATTTCCAGCTTCATCCATGTCCCTGCAAAGGACATGAACTCATCCTTTTTTATGGCTACATAGTATTCCATGGTGTATATGTGCCACATTTTCTTAATCCAGTCTATCAATGATGGACATTTGGGTTGGTTCCAAGTCTTTCCTATTTTGAGTAGTGCCACAATAAACATATGTGTACATGTGCCTTTATAGTAGCATGATTTATAATCCTTTGGGTATATATCCAGTAATGGGATTGCTGGGTCAAATGGTATTTCTAGTTCTAGATCCTTGAGGAATCGCCACACTGTCTTCCACAATGGTTGAACTAATTTACACTCCCATCAACAGTGTAAAACTCTTCCTATTTCTCCACATCCTCTCCAGCATCTGATGTTTCCTGACTTTTTAATGATCGCCATTCTAACTGGTGTGAGAGGGTATCTCATTGTGGTTCTGATTTGCATTTCTCTGATGACCAATGATCATGAGCATTTTTTCATGTGTCTGTTGTCTGCATAAATGTCTTCTTTTGAGAAGTGTCTGCTCATATCCTTTGCCCACGTTTTGATGGGATGGTTTATTTTTTTCTTGAAAATTTGCTTAAGTTCTTTGTAGATTCTGGGTATTAGCCCTTTGTCAGATGGGTAGATTACAAAAATTTTCTCCCATTCTGTAGGTTGCATGCTCACTCTGATGGTAGTTTCTTTTGCTGTGTGAAGCTCTTTAGTTTAATTAGATCCCATTTGTCTATTTTGGCTGTTGTTGCCATTGCTTTTGGTGTTTTAGTCATGAAGTACTTGCCCATGCCTATGTCCTGAATGGTATTGCCTAGGTTTTCTTCTAGAGTTTTTATGGTTTCATGTCTAACATTTAAGTCTTTAATCCATCTTGAATTAATTTTTGTATAACGTGTAAGAAAGGGATCCAGTTTCAGCTTTCTACGTATGGCTAGCCAGTTTTCCCAGCATCATTTATTACATAGGGAATCATTTCCCCATTTCCTGTTTTTGTCAGGTTTGTCAAAGATCAGATGGTTGTAGATGTGTGGTGTTATTTCTGAGGCCTCTGTTCTGTTGCATTGGTCTATATATCTGTTTTGGTACCAGTACCATGCTGTTTTGCTCACTGTAGCATTGTAGTATAGTTTGAAGTCAGGTAGCGTGATCCCTCCAGCTTTGTTCTTTTTGCTTATAATTGGCCATACTGCCCAAGGTAATTTATAGATTCAATGCCATCCCCATCAAGCTACCAATGACTTTTTCACAGAATTGGAAAAAACTACTTTAAAGTTCATCTGGAACCAAAAAAAGAGCCCACATTTCCAAGACAGAATGTATTTCTTAAGGAATAAATCTTGAAAATCAAAATTACTCCTTGGTTCATAGGCTACAGAAAAGATGTTGTGTTACTAGGCATGAAAAAGAAAAAAAAAATCTTCTTGTACATTATCAGACCTGTTGGGCAAATAGGTGCATTGTCAATGAGCATTGATATTTTATATCAATGAGCAGTATATCAAAACGGACAGCTTAAAATATTCAGTAAATCATGTTGCCAACAGATGTGCTGTCATTCAGGCTTTGTTGTCCCATTTATAGAGCACAGGTAGAGTAGACTTAGCATAGTTCTTAAGGGTCTTAGGATTTTCAGAATGGTAAAGGAGCACTGGCTTCAGCTTTAAGTCACTAGCTGCATTAACCCCTAACAAGAGAGTCAGCTTGTCCTTTGATGCTTTGAAGTCAGGTATTGACTTCTCCTCTCTAGCAAAGTCCTAAATTACATTGTCTTCCAAAAGAAGGCTGTTTCATCTACATTAAAAATCTTTCGTTTAGTGTAACCACCTCCATCAATGATCTTAGCTAGATATGAATAACTTGCTGCTTTACCTTGCACTTTTATTTTATGAAGGCAGCCTTTTTCCTTAAACCTCATGAACCAACCTCTGCCAGCTTCAAACTTCTTCTGCAGCTTCCTCACCTCTTTCAGCCTCCACAGAATTGAAAAAAGTGAGCGCCTTCCTCTGGATTGAGTTTTGGCTTAAATGAATGATGTGGCTGGTTTGAACTTCTATCTAGACCACTAAAACTTTCTGTATTTCAGCAATAAAACTGTTTCACATTCTTATCATCTGTGTGTTCACTTTTTATTTTTTTTCAAGAATTTTTCCTGTGCATTCATAACTTGGCTAAGTGTTTGGCACAAAAAGCTTAGTTTTTGGCTTGTCTCAGCTTTTGGCATGTCTTTCTCACTAAACTTAGTCATTTCTATCTGCTTTTGATTTAAAGCAAGGGACAAGACTCCTTCTTTAACTTGAACATTAGAGGCCGTTGTACAGTTACTAATTGGCCTAATTTAAATATTGTGGTATAGTAGGGAATTGGGAGGAAATGGCCCATATGTAGAGCAGTCAGAATACACACAACATTAATCAGTTAAGTTCACTATTGTATATGTTTTTGGTGCCCAAAAACAATTACAGTAGGAACATCAAAAATTATTGATCACAAATTACTATAACAAATATAATAATAATGCAGAAGTTTAGAATATTGCTAGAATTTCCAAATTTGACAGAAAGACACAGAGAGAACACATGGTGTTAAAAAATGGTGCCAGTTGACTTGCTCAATGCAGGGTTGCTACAAACCTTCACTTCATAAAAAATTCAATATCTGAGAAATGTAATAAAGCCAAGCACAATAAAAAGAGGTATGCCTGTAAATGGAAACTAATAGGTACTTTCTAAATATGAAATTTCTAGTAATAGCTTACGGTTAAAGCAAAGGTTCTCAAAAGGAGGAGATTTTCTTTCCATGGATCATTTGGTGATGTACGGAAACATGTTTAGCTGTTGCAACTTGAGGGTGGAGAATGCCACTGACATCAATTGGATAGAGTCCAGGGATGTTAATAAATATCATACAATGCAGAGGTTAGCAAGAAATTAATTATATAGACCAAAATTGCAATAATACAGAGGATACAAAATCCTTGTTTAAAGGTAAATGAAATTTGACATTGAAATAGGGTGGAGGTTTTGATATTGTTAAACAGCAGTAGGATTGTAAATCTCAGACTATAGCATTTTAATCTAGTTTGATAGAGATGTCATGTGTTCTTTTTATTTAAAAATATTTTTATTTGTAATTGATGAGTAATAATTGTATACATATATGGGTACAATGTGATGTTTTGAAGCATGTATATAGTGTGCAATGATCAAATCAGGCTAATCAATATATTCATCACCTAAAATATTTATCATTTATTTGTAATGAAAACATTTTAAATCCTCTCTTTTGCCTATTTTTAATTATAAAATAAATAATATTCTTATTAACTATAGTCATCATGCTGCACACCAGGTTACCAGAACTTATTCTTTCTAACTAAAACTTTTTGCATCCTTTGAGCAATATCTCCCCTTTCCTGATTCACTCTCCAACCAAACCTAACTTCTATGAGTTTGACTTTTTTAGATTTTACACATAAATGAGATCAGACAGTATTTATCTCTCTGTGCTTGGCGTATTTCCCTTAGTATAATGTCCCCAAGTTCATTCATGTTGTATAAAATGACATAATTTCCTGCTTTTTTAAGGCTGAATAGGTTTCTATTGTGTATCTATGCCACATGTTTTAAGCCATTCATCTGTTGATTGACACTTTGTTTTTGTATCTTGACTATCGTGAATAATGCTGTGATGAACATGGGAGTGTCAATGCCTCTTCAACATATTTATTTCAACAGATGTGCTGTCATTCAGCAGATGTGCTGTCATTCAATTCCTTTGGATATGTGCCTGGAAGTACAATTGCTGGATCATATGGTAATTCTATTTGTAGTTTCTGAGGAAACTTTATACTGTTTTTTAAAATGGCTGTGCACATTACAATACCACCAACAGTGGGAAAGAGTTTCCTTTTCTCTACATCCTCACATTTATTAGCTTTAGTCATTTTGTTAATGGGTATAAGGTGATAACTCATGTGGTTGCAATTTGCATTTTCCTGATTATTAGTTTTTTTTGAGCATTTGTCATATATATGTTGGCCATTTTTATGTCTTCTTTTGAGAAATGTCTATTCAGGTCCTTTGTCCATTGTTCAATAGGGTTATTTGTTTTCTTATTATTGTATAGTTTGAGTTCATCAAATATTTTGAATATTAGCCTCTTACTCAATGTATCATTTGAAAATACTTTCTTCCAATCTTTAAGTCATATCTTAACTCTCTTGTTTCCTTTATTGTTTGGAAGCTTTTTGGTTTGATGTAATGTAATTTGTCTATTTTTGCTTTTGTGGCCGGCAATTTTGGGGTCTTATCTGTGAAATCACTACCCAGACCAGTATTATGGAGGTTTTCCCCTGTGTTTTGTATTTTCTTCTAGTAGTTTTGCAATTTCAGATCTTATGTTTACATGTTTAATCCATTTTGAATTGATTCTTACATAAGGGGTAAGATAAGGTTTCATTTTTATTCTTCTGCACATGGATATCCAACTCATAACATCATTTACTAAAAAGATTATCCTTTCTCCATTGTATGTTCTTGGCACTTTTGTCAGAAATTAATCGACCATAGCTGTGTGGATTTATTTTTGGGCTTTTAATCCTATTCTATTTGTTAATGTGTCGTTTTTATGACAGTATCATGTTGTTTTGAATCCTATAGCTTTATAATGTATTTTGAAATCTGCTAGTGTGATGCCTTCAGTTTTTGGGTTTTGGTCAAAATTACTTTGGCTATTTGGCGCCTTTTGTGGTTCCACACAAATTATAGAATTCTTTTTTCTATTTTGGTGAAGAATAACAGAATTAATAGTAATTGCATTGAATATGTTGATAGCTTGGGCAGTATGGACATTTTAACAATACTAAGTCTTTCAATCTATGAACATGGGATATGCCATTTATTTGTGTCCTCTTCAACTTTTTTCAACAATGTTATATAGTTTTCAGTATATAGCTCTTTCACCTCCTTGGGTGAGTTGAATCATAATTAATTTATTTTTATGCTATTACAAATGGGACTTTTAAAATTTCTTTTTCAGCTAGTTTATTGTGAGCGTGCTACTGATTTTTGTGGGTTAATTTTTTATCCTGCAACTTTACTGAATTTGTTTATCAGTTCTAACAGTTTCTTGGTACAGTCTTTAGATTTCCCGTATATAAGATTATGTCACCTGCAAATAGAGATAATTTTACTACCTCTTCCATTTGGATGCCTTTGCTTATTTTTCTTTCCTAATTGCTCTGGCTAGAACTTTTTGTTGAACAGAAGTGATAAAAGTAGGAATAGTTGTTTTATTCTTGATCTTAGAAGAAAAGCCTTCAACTTTTCACTATGTATGATGTTAGCTGCGTCTTGACATATATGATCTTTATGGTGTTGAAGGACATTTCTTACATACTCAGTTTGTTGATAATTTTAATTATAAAAGGACATTGAATTTTGTCAAATGCCTTTTCTGTGTCTATTGAAATGATCATGTGGTTTCTGTCCTTCACTTTGTTATAACGGTATATCACATTTATTGATTGACATATGTTGAACCACTCTTGCAACCCAGGGATCAATCCCATTTGATTGTGGTGAATGACCCATTTAATATACTGTTGAATATAGCTTGCTAGTATTTCATTGAGGACTTTTGCACTTATGTTCATCAGTGATGTTGGCTTGCAGTTTTCTTTCTTTTTTTTTTTTTTGTAGCGTCTTTTTCTGGTTTTGGTATCAATGTAATGCTGGCCTTGTAAAATGAGATTGGAAGCATTCCCTTCTTTTAGATTTTTTGAAATAGTTTGAGAGGAATTGATATTAGTTCTTCTTTAAATGTTTGGTAGAATCCAGTCATAAAATTATCTTATCCTGGGCTTTTCTTTGATAGGAGACTTTAATTAACAATTCAGTTTCCTGGATTGTTATTGGTCTGTTCAGATTTACAATTTCTTTGTAATTCAGTCTTGGAAGGTTATATGTTTCTAGAAATTTATTTATTTATGAGGTTGTTGAATTTGTTGACATATAGTTATTCATAGTAGTTTCTTAGCTAACCTGTATTTCTCTGCTATAATATCTTCCCTTTCATTTCTAATTTTATTTATTTGAGGTTCTTCTCTTTTTCACCTGGTTAGTCTAGCTAAGTGTTTGTCAATTTTGTTTAGCTTTTCAAAAAACTGACTCTTAGAAAAACTGACTCAGTTTTGTTGATCTTTTCTATTGTCTTTCTAGTTTCTGTTTCATTTATCTCTAGTCTGATATTTGCTGTCTCCTAACTTCTGCTAACATTGGGCTTAATTTGTTTCTTCTAGTTCCTTAAGGTGCAATGTTATGTTGCTTATTTGAGATATTTCTCCTGTTTTAATGCAGACATTTATTGCTATAATTTTTTTTCTTACAACTGATTTTGGAGTTTCTGGAGATTTATCTTGTTCTTTCATTTGAATTGTATTTTCTTGTTTCTTCACTTTTCTTGACCTTCTGTGTTGGTTTTTGTGCATCCGGTGCCTTGTAAAAATAACTGATTCTCTCAGTCTTGTCAGATTGTCCTCATATAGGATAAAAATCCCACTAATCTATTAGGCCAGAGAATTTAAGATACCTCTCAAATCTTTGTGTTTGTTAAAACTGCTATCTCTGTACTTGGTGGCCCCCTGGGGATTAGGATTTGTCATGTCCTATCAGAACCTTAAGACCAGTAAGGTAGAAGCCATACCCTCTTGATGTAGCTAGAAAGGTTGAGTATTGGATGTATGTTCCACTTCCTTCTATCTGCATGGTGAAGCTGAGTGCAGGCATTTATCTCTCACTGTCTTTGCATTCAGCTAGGGAGAAGATCTGTATCAAATGCCTATATTTGTGTTTAGGCTAGACTCTGTGATCCTGGAGATATAGCTGCTGGAAGTGGATCTGTTGTATGTCCACCTCTTTGTTTTCTGTAGTTTAGGGCCACTCAAGATACAAAACCCCATGACTCCCAGAGCTAGGTCATTAAAGAGACAGTTCCTTGTGAGGCTGGAGAATAGGGTCTGGAGGCAGGGAACCTAAGGTCGACTAACACTGACTTCCTAGTGCTAAGTCAAAGGGATAACCCAACTTTCCACACCCATGTAACAAAAGAACCAGAGTCTACTCCCTTTGCAATGCCCCTGGCCTTTTTCTGTATGGCTCATGAAAAATTGAAAATACCTCTGTTTGGTCCCTTCCTGCAACCCATCAGATGTTTGCATAGGGTGTAACTTTGTAACTTCACTTCAGTCTCTGCAACCAATCAGACTTCTCACAAGCCACTGCTTCGTTTACATAGGGTACAAACCAAGTAACCAATGGGACACCTCTAGAGGATATTTAAATCCCAGAAAATTCTGTAACCAGGGCTCTTGACCCTCTTGCTCTAGCCCTTTTCCACTCTGTGGAGTGTACTTTTATTTTAATAAATCTTTGCTTTCATTGCTTCATTCTTTCCTTGATTTTTGTGTTCTGTCCAGTTCTTTGTTCAAAATGCCAAGAACCTGGACAACTGATAGTCATGACGTTCCACCAGTAACACTTGGGTAGGAGTTACAGACATTATGGCTCAGTGCAGAGAAAACTTTCTTACAGGACGAATGGGTACACCTGGATTTATCACTGTGGCAAGCTGAAAGAAAGCCTCTGAAGTGCCAAGCTCCAGTTTGGGCTGCCTGAGAGCTACTGTTTGCACCATTAGCTCCCCAGTGCAAGTTTATTAGAAGCCAGGCCCCTTAAGGAGCCAATGAAAGAGTATGCAATAAACTCCTTCCAGAGAGAAAATGGGAGCTGCATCTTCAAACCGCTTTGCTGCACTGTTCCTAGGAAGTTTAGCCCCTGGATGTGTTTGAGCACCTGTTTAAAACCACATCTCTATTCTGTGATCTGGGGAGGCTCCCGTATGTCTAGTCTCTTGTGCTCCCAGAGCTAAAAGTTTTAATATGCAGTCCCTCGGGTGGTTTTGTAAAAGTTACAATCCCTGTTTCGTGGCATAAATCTCTTCTAGGAAGAAACAGTGAGCTGTATTTTAAAAGCCCCTTTCTGTACTGCTTCCAGGGGATAAAGGCCTTGGAAGTACTTGCATACCCTTATAAAACTTTCCCCTTTGTCTGTTGTCTAGAGAGATTCAGGTGTGCCTACTCCCCTCTGCTCCCAGAGCTAGGAAGTTTAAGGTATAGTCTCCCAGGTGGAAGCTGTAAAAGTTGAAGGTGCATCATGTGTAGGCAAACACTTTCCAGAAGGGATTTAGTGACCTGGAGTTACCACTAGTGTGAGCTGGGAGAGAAGGTTCTGGAAGTGCTGATCTTCTCACACTGTTGGTAGGTTACTGTTTGTTTGCCTCTTTAACTCTCCAATGACAGTTAATTAGAATCCAGGCTGCCAAGTAGCCACTGGAGAGTGTGTTTTAAATCCATTCCAGAGAAAATCAAGCAAGTGCATTTTTAAGTACCTTCTCTGCACTACTTCAGAGGAGCCATGCAAGTGCTTGCATACCCTAATAAAACCTGCACGTTTTTACTGTGATCTAATTTTTATCTTAGACAAGAATATACCTAATCCTCTGTCCTTTCCAAATTGATTACATAAAAGCAAAACTATGAGGACCTTAGAGTTAGGGCAGTATATGTGAAATCCAAACCCTCCTCTCCACAGGGAGAAGCTGAGTGTTTGAGATTTCTTTCCTGGTTGTATGGCTCTGTGCCCAGGGTGGGGTCCATGCCCCCAGTGTTCTCAGCCATTCCTACTTGTTCTATATGGATGTTTTCTCAGTTGCCTGATGGGCAGGAGTCTCTCAATCATTTTCTCACTTTTTTGAGGGAATTGATCCATGAATAGATGTTTATTTGGTGCATTCAAACATGTAGGGGAAGTCAAGATCCTCTATTCCACCATGTTGCTGACATCACCACATACAATAAGTTCTTAAATACAGCAAATACCTGAAAATAGCTATTAACACATATTCCTTTAGTAGCTAAGTCTCAGTTTGATTTTTATAAGTGTAATCAAAGTCAAGAAGGCAAAAAAGACATTGAAGCAAAAAACTAGCGCAGAGTGATGAGTAAACTCAAAGCTAAAAGCATTTGAAAAAAATAACAGATTCAAGAAATTAAAAAAAAATTAACTGACTGAGGATTCTAAGAAGATGGCAGAGTAGGAAGCATCAGGAATCTGATGCTCCCCACCTAAGCAACAATTGCACTGGCAGAATTTGAGGAAACTATTTTGGAACTCTATAGTCTACTGAAGAATTATAACTTCCAGTGGAAGGCTTGGATGAAAAATTGCAGTTCATTTTGATCAATATCAGCGCTTAGCAGACTAACAGCTACTCATTCCCCTCCTCTAGCTTCAAGGCATGCAGCTGTGAACTCTTCCTGGAGCAGCTCTTGCATAGCTTGTGTAGCCAGGGTGAATCAAAAGGACCCTGTTTTTTAAACATCAGGATTAAGGATCCCCATCTATTGCTGATGGCTGCTTCTGATCACAGAGGTGTAGACAAAGAGCAGCCATTAGTTTTTACCTCCACCCATTCTTCCTAGCTTCTCACCTGCAGTTGAAGTGAATGCCATGGAATTCAAAGTTCTGGCATCCTTCTCCCCTCCTTTATTTATCTGTTTTTCCTTTTTGGAAGTCAGATATTAAAGACTAAGACATTAAAAAACTCCATATATGAGGAAATTTAGAAAATAATCATTGAAGTGCATGGAAAGGCTCAAGAAAAACCTGAGATGACTTTAATTTTACACCTCAGGCCGATCCTTGGCACAGAGTCAGCATACAAAATCAAACAAAAAAAACAATCTCCAGAACAAAAATCATCAAACCTCAGGAAAAGGGGAGAATCTGATTTCCAGAGTTACCACATTATTAGATTCAAATGTCTAGTTTTCAACAAAAAATTACAAGACATACAAAGAATCAGGAAAGTAAGGCTCATTCAAAGATAAAAAGTACAATAAATCAACAGAAACTGCCACTGAAAAAGACCAGATGGCAGGTCTCTAAGACAAAGATTTGAAGCAACTGTGAACTAAAGAAGAATGTAATAATGTCATCAAAACAATGTATGAATAAAATAAAAATATCAATAAATACATGAAAAACCTAAAAAGAAAACAAAAAGAAATTCTGGAGCTGAAAAGTACAATAACTGAATTGAAAATTTTACTGGAGCAATTCAAATGCAAAATTGTATAGAAAGAAGAAAGAATCAACAAATTTGAAGATGGGATAATTAAATTTATTATGTCTAACGAATAGGAAGAAAACGATCTTTAAAAAGTGAACAGGCCTTAGCAATCTGTGGGACAACATCAAATGTGCCAACTTATGTGTTGTGGTAGTTACAGAAGAAGAGATGGTGGGGGAGGAAAGGATATTGGAAAACAAAATAATGGCTGAAAACTTCCCAAATCTGATGAAAGACATAAATATAAACATCCAAGAATTTTAAGGAAGTCCAAGTAGATAAACTCAAGAAGACTCATACCAATACAGCTTGATTATAATCAAGCTTTGAAAAGAAAAAGAAAATGAATCTTGAAACCAGCAAGAAAGAAGTGTGCTGTCCTATGTAAGTGATCCTGAATCAGGTTATCAGCAAATTTCTTATTAGAAAGCTCAGAGGCTTTCTAGAAGCCAGTGAACTGATATATTCAAAGTACCAAAAGAAAAAGAAATTAAAAGCAAATTGTTAGCCCAAGTGCTAAATTGTCTGGCAAAATTGCTGTTTCTTTTTTTCAAAAATGAGGTAGAAATTAAGAAAGCTTTAATAAGGAATGAAATTTTAATACATGCCACAGCATGGATGAATCCTGAGGATATTGTGCTAAGCGAAATAAGCCAGTCAAAAAAGGACAAATATTATATGATTCCTTTATATAAGATACTTACAAGAGTCAAAATCATAGAGACAGAAAACAGAATGGTGATTGTCAGGAGCTGGGGGAGAAGAGAATGGGAAGCTATTATTTGATGGGTATAGAGTTTTCATTTTACAAGATGACAAGCAAGTTATGCAGATGGATGGTGGTGATGTTTGCATAACATTATGAATGTATTTACCACCACTTAAAATGGTTAAGATGATAAATCTTATGTGTATTTTACCACAATAAAAAATTGGAAAAAATATACTTAGTATCTAAACATAGAAATGTTAAGTTAATACAAATACTTTGAAGTTCTTTGTTGTTGTTTTTAAATGATGGTAGAGCCAATCATCACCACAAGCAAGTTGGTAATGATGGTGAATTGTGGTAAACAATGATGCATTTTTTTTTTTTTGCTTCTCTAGGATTTTCAAGTGAAGAACTGGGACTAAGTAAAAAAAAAAAAAAAAAGATTCACAAGGAACTACTAGAAGTCATAAGAAATTAAAAACTAACAGAAGTTTCACCAAGGAAGAAGAAAACAACATAATTTAACACAAGAGAGGGTTCACAATAGGTAAGAAGTGCAGAAAGCACACAAGTGATTTTAAGAGTGGACTTAAGTAGAGCCTGAAGCATACACAATATGAAGGACAAACCCTTAAGGAGAAAAATTAAAATTTTAAACATATATTAGGTACAGAGTTAATGGAGACCTTGTGAGAGAAAGCCTTGAAACTTATTTTTAATTGCCTCTTCAATAAACCTGCCTCTACTTTTGAGATAAAAATACCAGTGTAATAGCAGGTAGAAAAGTGCAAATCCAGGATGAACCAACTGAGTAGATATTTGTCATGACTGTACTTTCTGAAACCCACCCATGGTTTCAGAAAGAAAAAGTATATATATATCTGAAGTCCTAGATCTAAAATCCTACATATGTCTGTTCCAGAAAATATAAAAAGTGTTATTATTCATGAAATTTGAACATGAAACTTAAGAGATAAATAAGCAGTTGCTGGAAAGACAAAGGAAACAAAGGTGGTCTTTTCTGGAAGAGTCAGAATTTCAAACTTCATCACCAGTCATACATCTCAGGAGGAGATAACTGATCTGAAATATCTCTCTGGGTAATGAGAGAAATGTTTTGGGCCACAGTAGACTTATCGGCTCAAGAGGTGTCTGAGAGACCAGAATCAAAATGAAGAAAGAGGTTAAACTGAAAAAATGAACAAGCAAGAGAAATATGGTACAGAGGTACAGACAAAATAATTTCATAATTTTACTTATTGAAAACCTGAAACTTGAAAGAAAATAAGAAAAAAAGAAAATAAGAAAAATAAGAAAATAAGAAAAAAAATAAAAAATTTGGTTACTATTTTATTTTAACCAGTAAAAAGGCTCATTGATTAGTTATGCAGATATATATATATTATATCTCCTCTATGTTAGTATTCTTACCACTAGAAATATTGCAATAAATAGACATAGGCCCTTCTTTCAGGGAGAGTAGCTTATAATTAAATAGACTCGGACATAAACAGATTTTCAAACATAAGATATGAAAGTGTTAGAAGAAGAGAATATGTACATAATTTTTAAATGGGAGAGGACTAAAACAAGATCAAATATGTGACAACCATAAAGGGGAACATGGCATATTTACATAAATTTTTTTTTAAATTAAGAAAAAAAAGCACAGAGAAAATGAACAGATTATTTATTTTAAAAGAAATGCAAAGGTCAATAAATGTGTAAAAATAAGTATACTAGTAGTCAGAGAAATATGCATACAAATTATGAAATATAATGTTTCCCATTAAATTCTTAAAAGATAAAGAGGAACTGAAATCATCCAGCGATGGCACAAACATGATGGTAGACACGGGAATATGAGTGCTCTTTTATACTCTTAGTAGAGGTATAATTTACCATAAGATTTCTGGAATAAACCCTTTTAATATATACTAAAAGTAGGCCCACCTCTTAACTTAGCATTTCTTCTTATGGAAATTCAGTCAAAATATAAAAGAAGCAGTAATTAGATATATGTACAAAGATATTTATTGTAGCAAAAAAATTGAAACAACCTGAATTCCTAACAATAGTGGGAATATTGAATTAATATTGGCATACCCCCCACTTTGATATAAAATAAACTATTACATAAGATATACATGTATAAAATAAATTAAGGTAAACAAACCCACAAAATATTTTGTATAAGTTATATATAAAAATATACATGTATAACATTCCTTTTTAATAAAGTCTGTAAATATGCACATGTATCTTTGAATTAAAAGAAAATAGAAATATCAAAAAGTTAATCTTACCAATGATTAATTCAGGGAGTTGGACTGGGAGAAGGAGAAGGAAATTATGACTTAAGTTTCTCATCTGTACTTGAGTTTTAATTCAGACCATTTATTTCATGTAATAATTCAAGTTATTAAGAAGAGACTACTAAATTCATGAAGTCCTCTATAGGAGAAATCAGGAGTTTTTTCAGAAGGAAGACAGTCTTAACCTTTCTTGGGAGGATGGCTATTCCGTCCCTGAATAAGTGAGCTGGAAGTTGAATCTAAAAGATGAAAAGGAGTTGGTAAGGCAACAGGGAGCCACAGGGGCAGAGCAAGAAAGGGAGATTGTGAGTGGTACAGGCAAAAAGAACAGCAGGCGCCAATAAGGACCTTTTTCAAGGAATTGAAGAGTTCAGAATGTTTGGAACAATTGTGGGAGGGGTATAAATGAGAGAACACAGCAAACAACTTCCTGCCTTTAGAGTGAGAGTTGAGTTAGGCGTTGTTAGAAGAATCAAAGACACTGTGGTTTTGAATTTGATTCTTGACTCTGCATTTTAAAAAACCTCGTTAGACTTCAATTTCCTCTTCTATTGAATGAATATTGTAACACTTACCTTAATGTTTTCTTTTTGGTGAAGAGTAAATTTTATATGTGTAAAGTGAAAACATATTCCTTTTACATATATAGAAGCTTCTTAGGTAGCAGCAACAGCAATTATTCTAATATCCTTTGTTCCAGACTATTGTTAAGACTGGGCTTGGTTTTATGCTATGTTATATATCATGTATTTTGGTTTTTGTACTTCACAAGGTAACTTTTAATGGGGTTGTCATGTTTAGCAATAAGCAACGTCTATGAAACTAGGTGGTGTGTATCAACCTCAACTAATTAAACAAGGCAGAAACAAACCAGAAGCAATGCTCATGATGACTAAACTGTTCTAAGAAGCCATTTTCCCCCTAATTCTTGTAATAGTTCAATAAAAGCAGCCAAATGAACAATGCAAGAAATGTCTCTAAATTTAAACCCAGAATTTACTGCAAATCAGGGTGTGCAGAATCTTTCTATTGATTGTGGTGTAATTGCCATACAAACATTGTTCTCCTTAAAAACAACCTTTATAGAATGGTTAATTTTTTTCCTGGTTGGACTCTGCATTTTAGAAACTAAAAAGAACAAGGCAGAAAAATCCATCTTTTTGAATGAGGGAATATTGCAGAGAAACATATAAATGTTTCTATTTTCTTCAGTTGCAAATATAGAAATGCATAGGGATCTGGAGAGCAGAACTTGACGATGTAAACTAAGACTTTTCTGTTTTAATAGCCAAGGCAGAATGAATATAATACTCATGTTTGTAACAGAGGCCAAATAACATAAGGCTGGAAATTATATTAAATTTAGAGATGATCATTGGTGATCTTTGCTAGAGAAGCTATGCTGAAAAATTGGAAAAGCCATAACGGAGTGCTGTGGAGGACAAGAAGAATTGCTATTCCAATTCCTCTTCAAAGACAGATTTGCTGCCCAGCAGCAGGGAAGGTGGTCAGCATGCAGCCTCTAGAGTCAATCCTTTGGGGCTACGCATAAGCTTCAGAGAGCAGACACCAGGCCATTCCTTTCCATGGGCAACACACATCAGATTGCTGAGCAAGGTACGAGTATTTTCAGTCCAATGTGGGATATTCTGACTGGTAATACCTTCCCAAATTCCTCCTTGCATTGGCTTACATTTTGGCCAGCCAGTACCCAGCTTATTTTCTCCCTCTGCTCAATCCTGCATCTTCTCACATCCATTCACAGGTGTTGATTCCCAATTAATACCTCTCATGGCAAACTTTATCTCAGCAGCTGCTCTGGATATTCCAAACCAAGAGAAATACAAACACTTTGAGGAATAGTAGGTTGATGAGAAAGTGAAGATGAGTTTAGGTACTAATTTCATTTATATTTATTTGTAATAAGGAAGAGAGGAGATATATTAGCTTCAGGAGGAAATGGGATTAAGGGAGATATTTCATTATTTTTATGTTTTGGAATGATAGGTAAGGGAAGGACCTGAGAGAGTAAATGTTGATGGAAGGGATTCACTACACAGAAGCAGTTCTTTGGAATGTCTCCTGAGTTCAAATTACACTGTGATAATTTGACTGTATAAGAAAAATTCTGTCTCTCATTATGTTTTCCAAAATCAGAGGTAAACCTGCCTATTTAAATGAGATCTCTCTTTTTGGAGAAGGAACAGATTTTGGGAAAAGAGAACTGTGCTTATTTGTCAAATTGAAATTAGGAGTGAAATCCATGTGTTTCTTTATACCCCTTAAATCGACTTTTATATGTTCTGTAATTCATTCAGCAACAGTCATAAAAGTTTGTGCAGAATTCCACAAAGTGCTGGAAATCTCAGCCATCAGTTCCATAAACAAAAATAGACATTCTACTTTACTCTCTAGGTGTGTGTTTTAATTTCTTCCAGAAAGAAAAAAATGAATTAAAAAAATTTAATGTTATTATGAAATTTCCTTAGTATTTTTTTAGAAAAGAGAATTTACTTCATAAAGTAACATTTGTGAATGACAACATAAATAGAAATGGCCCTAAGATGATATAGCATTACTAATTGTCCAACCTTGACAAAAGCATTCTGATAAGATTATTCTTTAGACAATCTAAAATCATTTGTTCTTGACCTAGAAGTTAAAATGAACTCCTCTTGACAAGAAGTAAAATTGGTCACAAAGCACTATTCTCTAATCATAGGGAAACAAGCTACATGATAGCAAATATATATGATACAGAAAAAAAACACTAAGCATGATTACAATACATAGCATAAGCAATGAGAAATTAGCATTTAATGAACAAAATTCCTATTCACAGTACTATTGTGAAAGTTAATAAATGCTTAGTTTTAATAAAATCTCTGCTGTGATATAGGTATTATGTTTCTTCCTTATTTTATTGTTAGTGATGCCTAGGAAATTGCTAGGAAAAGAGAAAGTGTGGTGATTTTATACTTATTTCTTGAAATTGAAGGTATGATTTCATACTAAAAACAATAATGAATGAAATGTATTAAGAATAACTGTGTCCTAATGGTCTAATTGATTATTTTAATTGAGGGTAGAATTAGAACCACTAGGGCCTCTTTAGCCCTGAAATTATGCACATTCATGCATGCATGCATATAACAATAGCACACAACTGGTTGTTTACTCCAGTATACCCAGTGGTAAGATCCTCACCTTGGCTCTTACAGGAAGATAAAGCATTACTTACAGAGAACATGACTGGTTTACAGGAGTAGACTATGATTCAGAAATCTGGGAAAAAATTTACCTTGAAGCTATATACATGTAATGCCCTGTGGCATTACATGTATATAGCTTTCCTGTGGCATGGAAACATAAAAGCCATCAAAAAACTGAATATTTTTTTATAAATTCACAAATCTGAAGAAATATTAAAAACAGTCTGTCATTTGTTAGACATTGTACTGCAATTGGTAATTATCTGAAATAGTATATGAAGGTGGTTTTATATATATCTATATCTATATTTTTTATACATATACTTTATGCAGCTCTTGCAGTCTATCAAGTTTTAATTTATATAGCATGGTGACAGTAAAACAATCTACAATCTACAACATAATTGTTTTAAAGTTCCTTGTGTCATATTCACTGTTAGTAATAAACCCAAATTGCTTGTTTACCAATATATAGATAAGGATGCTTTCATCAGTGCACATGTTGGTAGTAGCAGATAAACAGAGTAAATATTCTAGACCTTGTAACATTAAACAGCTAATCTTATCCCTTCCCTAGCAAAGTTTTTGTATAAGTGTGGCAAAAAAAAAAATTATATAGTATATGTGAGTACAGTGGTCCCTCAGTAATTGTGGGGAATTTGTTCTAAGACATTCAGGAGATACCAAAATTTGCATACACTCAAGTCCCTGATATAAAATGAGGTAGTGTTTGCATATAATATATGCACATCCTCCCATACACTTTAAATCATCTCTCGATTATCTGTAATATCTAATACAATGTAAATGTTACGTAAATAGTTGTTATACTGTATTGTTTAGGGACAACTGACAAGAAAAAAAGTCTGTACACTTTTAGTACAGATGTATTAAACAAAATTCTTTTAAATCCTTGATTAGGGCTAAGTGTATATATATTTACAGATATATATAAAATATATAAAGTTATATATATATATAATATATGTGTGTGTATATATATAGTTAGCCCCAATCAAGATATATATATACACACACACACATATATATACACACACACACACACATACACGCAGAAATATATGTGTGTATATATATATATTGGGGTTAACTATATATATATGTACATGTGTGTGTGTGTGTGTATATATATATATGTATTTGTATAACTGTATATATATATACAGTAAGCCCCAATCAAGATACATATATATATCATGCATATATACACACACAGATATATATATATGTATGCATATATATATCTCAATATGTATGCATATATTAATGTTTACAAATTCACTTTTATGTCTATCTGCATATAAAGAACATGCATCATTTTCCTCTTATATGTGATCATGCTGCTGTCTTTCCACTGTGTATTTTACAAAGGTGTATTAGTCATGGTTCTCTAGAGGGACAGAACTAATAAGATGGATGTATATATAAAAGGGAGTTTATTAAGGTGTATTGACACACATGATCACAAGGTCCCGCAATAGGCCATCTGGAAGCTGACAGGCAAGGAAGCCAGTCTGAATCCCAAAGCTGAAGAACTTGGAGTCTGATGTTCAAGGGCCAGAAGCATCCAGCATGGGAGAAAGATGTACGCTGGGAGGCTAAGCCAGTCTAGTCTTTCTACATTCTTCTAACTGCTTTTATTCTGGCCACGCTGGCAGCTGATTAGATTGTACCCACATAGTTTGAGGGCGGGTCTGCCTTTCCCAGTCCACTGACTCAAATGTTAATCTCCTTTGGCAACACCCTTACAGAAAAATCCAGGAACAACACTTAGCATATTTCCATCAAATCAAGTTGACACTCACTATTAATCATCACGAAAGGCTTTTCCCAAGTTTATGAAAGCAGATGCTATTTACATATTATGTTTGTGTTTACAACTCAGCCTCAGAGGCCGTATCAGCCACAAAATTTACCTCGATAATATTTTCTTGTTTAATATCTACTTTCTTAACAACTGACTAGAGTGGTTGCAGAATCAATCTAAAAAATTCTTGGGTCTGTTCCAAGACTGCCCAATAGGAACAGCTCTGGTTTGCTGCTCCCAGTGTGAATGGTGCAGAAGATGGGTGATTTCTGCATTTCCAACTGAGGTACCTGGTTCATCTCATTGGGACTGGTCGGAAAGTGGGTGCAGCCCACGGAGGGACAGCCAAAGCAGGGCGGGGCATCGCCTCACCTCGGAAGCACAAGGGGTTGGGGGATTTCCCTTTCCTAGCCAAGGGAATCCATGACAGACTATACGGGGAAAATCGGGACACTGCCACCTAAAAACTGCACTTTTAGAACAGTCTTAGCAAATGGCATACCAGGAGATTATATCCCGCACCTGGCTCAGTGGGTCCCTATGCCCATGGAGCCTTGTTCACTGCTAGTCCGAGATGGAACTGCAAGGCGGCAAGCCTGGCTGGGGGAGGGGCGTCCACCATCACTGAGGATTGAGTAGGTAAACAAAGCCACCAGGAAGCTTGAACTGGGTGGAGCCCACCATAGCTCAAGGAGGCATGCCTGCCTCTGTAGACTCCACCTCTGGGGGCAGGGCACAGCTGAATAAAAAGGCAGCAGAAACTTCTGCAGACTTAAATGTCCCTGTCTGACAGCTCTGAAGAAAGCAGTGGTTCTCCCAGCATGGTGTTTGAGCTCTGAGAACTCACAGACTGCCTCCTCAAGTGGGTCCCTGACCCCTGTGTAGCCTAACTTGGAGACATCTCCCAGTAGGGGCTGACTGACACCTCATACAGAAGGGTGCCCTCTGAGACGAAGCTTCCAGAGGAAGGATCAGGCAGCAATATTTGCTGTTCTGCAATATTTGCTGTTCTGCAGCCTCCACTGGTGAAACCCAGGCAAACAGAATCTGGAGTGGACCTCCAGCAAACTCCAAGAGATGCAGCTGATGGACCTGACTGTTACAAGAAAAACTAACAAACAGAAAGGAATAGCATCAACATCAACAAAAAGGGCATCCACACCAAAACCCCATCTGTAGGTCACCATCATCAAAGACCAAAGGTAGATAAAACCACAATGATGGGGAGAAACCAGAGCAGAAAAGCTGAAAATTGTAAAAACCAGAGTGCCCCTTCTCCTCCAAAGGATCGCAGCTCATCGCCAGCAATGGAACAAAGCAGGACGGAGAATGACTTTGACAAGTTCACAGAAGTAGGCTTCAGAAAGTTGATAATAACAAACTTCTCCAAGCTAAAAGAAGATGTTTGAACCTATTGCAAGGAAGCTAAAAACCTTGAAAAAAGATTAGACGAATGGCTAACTAGTATAAACAGTGTAGAGAAGACCTTAAATGACCTGATGGAGCTGAAAACCATGGCACAAGAACTACGTGACACATGCACAAGCTTCAGTAGCTGATTCAATCAAGTGGAAGAAAAGGTATCAGTGATTGAAGAGCAAATGAATGAAATGAAGCGAGAAGAGAAGTTTAGAGAAAAAAGAGTAACAAGAAATGAACAAAGTCTCCAAGAAATATGGGACTATGTGAAAAGACCAAATCTCTGTTTAATTGGTGTACCTGAAAGTGACGGGGAGAATGGAACCAAGCTGGAAAACACTATTCAGTATACTATCCAGGAGAACTTCCCCAACATAGCAAGGCAGGCCAACATTCAAATTCTGGAAATACAGAGAATGCCATAAAGATACTCCTGGAGAAGAGCAACCCCAAGACACATAATTGTCAGATTCACCAAGGTTGAAATGAAGGAAAAAATGCTAAGGGCAGTCAGAGAGAAAGGTCGGGTTACCCACAAAGGGAAGCTCATCAGACTAACAGCGGATCTCTCGGCAGAAACCCTACAAGCCAGAAGAGAGTGGGGGCCATTACTCAACATTCTTAAAGAAAAGAATTTTCAACCCAGAATTTCATATCCAGCCAAATTAAGCTTCATAAGCAAAGGAGAAATAAAATCCTTTACAGACAAGCAAATGCTGAGAGATTTTATCACCACCAGGCCTGCCTTACAAGAGCTCCTGAAGGAAGCACTAAACACGGAAAAGAACAACCAGTACCAGCCACTGCAGAAACATGCCAAATTGTAAAGACCATAGATGCTAAGAAGAAACTGCACCAACTAATGGGCAAAATAACCAGCTAACATCATGATACATTCAAATTCACACATAACAATATTAATCTTAAATGTAAATGGGCTAAATGCCCCAATTAAAAAACACGGACGGGCAAATTGGATAAAAAGTCAAGGCCCATCAGTGTGCTGTATTCAGGAGACCCATCTCATGTGCAGAGACACACATAGGCTCAAAATAAAGGGATGAAGATCTACCAAGCAAATGGAAAGCAAAAAAGCAGCAGGGGTTGCAATCCTAGTCTCTGATAAAACAGACTTTAAACCAACAAAGATCAAAAGAGACAAAGAAGGCCATTACATAATGGTAAAGGGATCAGTGCAACAAGAAGAGCTAACTATCCTAAATATATATGTACCCAATACAGGAGCACCTAGATTCATAAAGCAAGTTCTTAGAGACTTACAAAGAGACTTAGACTCCCACACAATAATAATGGGAGGTTTTAACACCCTACTGTCAATATTAGACAGATCAAGGAGTCAGAAGGTTAACAAGGATATCCAGGACTTGAACTCAGCTCTGCACCAAGCAGACCTAATAGACATCTACAGAACTCTCCACCCCAAATCAACAGAATATACATTCTTCTCAGCACCACATCTCACTTATTCCAAAATTGACCACATAGTTGGAAGTAAAGCACTCCTCAGCAAATGTAAAAGAACAGATATCACAACAAACTGTCTCTCAGATCGCACTGCAATCAAATTAGAACTCATGGTTAACAAACTCACTCAAAACCACACAACTATATGGAAACTGAACAACCTGCTCCTGAATGGCTACTTGGTAAACAACGAAATGAAGGCCGAAATAAAGATGTCATTTGAAACCAATGAGAACAAAGACACAATGTACAAGAATCTCTGGGACACATTTAAAGCAGTGTGTAGAGGGAAATTTATAGCACTAAATGCCCACAAGAGAAAGCAGGAAAGATCTAAAATTGACACCCTAACATCACAACTAAAATAACTAGAGAAGCAAGAGCAAACACATTCAAAAGCTAGCAGAAGGCAAGAAATAACTAAGATCAGAGCAGAACTGAAGGAAATAGAGACACAAAAAATCCTTCAAAAAATCAATGAATCCAGAGCTGGTTTTTTGAAAAGATCAACAAAATTGATAGACCGCTAGCAAGACTAATAAAGAAGAAAAGAGAGGAATCAAATAGATGCAATAAAAAATGATAAAGGGGATATCACCACAGATCCCACAGAAAGACAAACTACCATCAGCGAATACTATAAACATCTCTACGCAAATAAATTAGAAAATCTAGAAGAAATGGATAAATTCCTGGATACATACACCCTCCCAAGACTAAACCAGGAAAAAGTTGAATTGCTGAAGAGACCAGTAACAGGCTCTGAAATTGAGGGAATAATTAATAGCCTACCAGCCAAAAAAAGTCCAGGACCAGACGGATTCACAGCCAAATTCTACCAGAGGTACAGAGAGGAGCTGGTACCATTCCTTCTGAAACTATTCCAATCGATGCAAAAAGAGGGAATCCTCCCTAACTCATTTTATGAGGCCAGCATCATCCTGATACCAAGGCCTGGCAGAGATACAACAAAAAAAGACAATTTTAGACCAATATCCCTGATGAACATTGATGCGAAAATCCTCAATAAAATACTGACAAATCAAACCCAGCAGCACATCAAAAATGGGGAAAGGATTCCCTATTTAATAGATGGTGCTGGGAAAACTGGCTAGCCATATGTAGAAAGCAGAAACTGGATCCTTTCCTTACACCTTATACAAAAATTAATTCAAGATGGATTAAAGACTTAAATTTTAAACTTAGAACCATAAAAACTCTAGAAGAAAACCTAGGTAATACCATTCAGGACGTAGGCATGGGCAAGGACTTCATGATTAAAACACCAAAAGCAATGGCAACAAAAGCCAAAATAGACAAATGGGATCTAATTAAACTAAAGAGCTTCAGCAAAAGGAACTACCATCAGAGTGAACAGGCAACCTAGAGAATGGGAGAAAATTTTTGCTATCTGTGCATCTGACAAAGGGCTAATATCCAGAATCTACAAAGAACTTAAACAAATTTACGAGAAAAAATCAAACAACCCCATCAAAAAGTGGGCGAAGGATATGAACAGACACTTTTCAAAAGAAGACATTTATGCAGCCAACAGGCACATGAAAAAATGCTCATCATCACTGGTCATCAGAGAAATGCAAATCAAACGACAATGAGATACCATCTCACACCAGTTAGAATGGCAATCATTAAAAAGTCAGGAAACAACAGGTGCTGGAGGAGATGAGAAATAGGAACACTTTTACACTGTTGTTGGGAGTTTAAACTAGTTCAACCATTGTGGAAGACAGTGTGGTGATTCCTCAAGGATTTAGAACTAGAAATACTGTTTGACCCATCATCGATCCCATTAGTGGGTATATACCCAAAGTATTATAAATCGTGCTACTATAAAGACACATGCACACGTATGTTTACTGTGGCACTATTCACAATAGCAAAGACTTGGAACCAATACAAATGTCCATCAATGATAGACTGGATTAAGAAAATGTGGCACATATACACCATGGAATACTGTGCAGCCATAAAAGGATGAATTCATGTCCTCTGTAGTGACATGGATGAAGCTGGAAACCATCATTCTGAGCAAACTATTGCAAGGACAGAAAACCAAACACCTCATGTTCTCACTCATAGGTGGGAATTGAACAATGAGAACACTTGGACACAGGATGGAGAACATCACACACCGGGGCCTGTCGTGGGGTGGGGGAAGGGGGGAGGGATAGCATTAGAAGAAATACCTAATGTAAATGACGAGTTAATTGGTGCAGCACACCAACATGGCACATGTATACATATGTAACAAACCTGCAAGTTGTGCACATGTACCATAGAACTTAAAGTATAATAAAAAATTATTAAAACATCAGCAGCATTTTCCATTTTTCAAAAATTAGTATTTTGATTTGGTATTTTTGATTATATACAACCAAGAACGAGATACTTCACTCAAAGTGAGTCACTCTCTTATTTAAAGAGAGTTACACTTTTATGAACATTAGTGGGCTAAAGTTTGGCTCCTTCTAGCAGATTGCTAAACTGACAATATATTACTTACAATTTTACATTTGTTCAACTTAAATATACTAAGGATTCTTAGATTAGATTATGAATATTCTTAGAATTTGAGATATTTAATATTTTCCCCTCTTTTCTTTCTTCTAGTTTGATACATGCTACAATGCTTTCTTTTTCATCTTAGCTTCCTATTTCCTTGTTTTCTGTTTTTTCTTTTTTGAGATGGAGTATCGCTCTGTCACCAGGGTGGAATGCAGTGGGACAATCTAGCCTCTTTGCAACCTCCAACTCCCGGGTTCAAGAGATTCTCCTGCCTCAACCTCCCGAGTAGCTGGGATTACAGGCATGTGCCACCACACCCAGCTAATTCTTGTACTTTTAGTAGAGACAGGGTTTCACCATGTTGGCCAGGATGGTCTCAATCTCCTCACCTCATGATCAACCCACCTCAACCTCCCAAAGTGCTGTGATTACAGGCATGACCCACCGCACCCGGCCTCCTTGTATTTTTTTTTTTTTAAATAGTGGTAAACAAAACTATATCCCTGGGGATTAATAGATAGATTTGGCATAATAGGTCTTCGATAAATATTTTCAATTAAATAGTTATATTGTTAATCTATAGTCTTAAATATCTTATGTACTTACTATCAACATTTTAGGTAAATTTACAACTGATCTCAAGATACTAAATTGGACTCATTTTTGTGGCTATAATTCTCTACCTCTCATTCCTAAACATAATTCTCACCTCAAAAATCTCAACTCTGCTTGTGAAAAGCATAAAGAAGAAGCACGGAGGGGAAAGATTCATAAGCATGTTTTAAGAACTCAGGATTTTTAACCCAGAGACATGACGATTCTTGGAAGCCTAATTCCCTTCACATAAGTTTATGGGTTTATATATCAATTATATGGGATTGGACTTAGTATATATAATTTTAAAGAGCAAAACTGGAAATAATAATTAGGAATGTAGGGATAAATGTTCTCCTCTTTATGTGAAAGACATTTCTAAAAATTAGATCTTTTTTTTTTTTTTTTTTTTGAGATGAAGTCTCGCTCTGTCACCCAGGCTGGAATGCAGTGGCGTGATCTTGGCTTACTGTAACCTCTGCCTCAAGTTGAGGCGATTCTCCTGCCTCAGCCTCCTGAGTAGCTGGGACTACAGGCACCCGCCACCACGCCTGGCTAATTTTCATATTTTTAGTAGACATGGGGCTTCATCATGTTGGTCAGGCTGGTCTCGAACTCCTGACCTCATGATCCGCCCGCCTTGGCCTCCCAAAGTGCTGGGATTACAGGCATGAGCCACCACGCTCGGCCGGAATTAGATCTTTTAAAAATGAAAGTTAATACATCAGTAGATAATATGCTTTCTGTCATATTATAAATTTGTGGGAATGTTTTAGAGAAGTGTAAAATATTAACTGTGGATTAAACCAGAAGACAACTTCAGAAATACCCCAACCAAAACATTGTTTGTAAATTCTTCCAAACACAATCATGTTTTTTGTTCCTCTCCCCAAAACAATAACTACCATATCTGCCCTTCAAAACCTCACTATTCGTTGCCTAAAACTGCATTGATTACTTTAGCTCACCTTTAAATATATGCTCTTACTCAATCCTTTCTAAACCCTTAGAGAAAGGCAGCAGTCAGCATTTATTTAACCCTGTAGGTTAGTTAATTTTTACAGTCTCCATTGCCGTTTAACTTAAGAATTCTGAAAGTTAATCATCATCAGCTTTCTCATCAGGAATCTACTAACTTGGAGCTTTAAGTCACTAGATCACAAGATAAACATATTTTGCTATTAGCTGTCTCCTGTCTGTCTTCCTAGACTACCCTTTTTCAGCATCTACAGTTGTATGTTATCTACAAACTGGTTGATATGTTTTAACGTTGAACTTGCATGGACATGAGCTCTATTACACTGACAGTCGTGACCAACTCCCAATCCGTAAAGTGTGATCTATTTAAGTAATTTATATTACTTCCTTAGTCTAGTTATCTGAGTCATAAGAACACAATTAGGCTGGGGAATCAGTTTATCCTGTCATAGCAATCAGAAAGCAAAGTAGTAGTAGCAGCAGCAGTAGTAGTAGTAGTAATAGTCGTAGTAGTAGTAGTGTGTATGTGTTTCCAAATGTAACTTTCAGTTTTTGAGTTAGAGTTATTTTTAAGTTGTTGTGGCTATAGGTATACTATTGATATTTTATTGAAGATTTGATTTGTGTAAAATAGTGGAAAGAAATAAACTAGGAACTGAGTACATTTTTTTTCAGTCTCAAATGTTGTTATGTAAAATTGAATAAACAAAATTATATTGTTAATTATACCTTAATACAACTTGAGAGAAAATATATAAAATAACAAGACCAGATCATAGAAAGAAACAATGGAAGTTCAATTTCACACTGTAAAAAACAAGATACAAGTATATTTTTCTTATTTTTCCCGAAGTTTAACATTGAATTTACAGTAGAACACATGGAAATAGTGTTATATGATAATGAGTTGTCATTATTTTTAATAGTAGTTATGCTAACATGCTAACAGACCTATAAATGCCTTCCTATTGTAATTGCTGATCATAGGTATGTATATTATTTTTTATGTGCACTTAATCAGACCTCACAAACCTCTTCCACAACAGAAGCCAACAACAGTTGGGAGAATTCCTATGACCATTTGAAGGATAGGAAACATGCTAGTTCTCTGTCTCATACCTAAGGAATTCACTGTGGGGGGAAAAAAGGAGGGTTGGGTCAATATTTGTTAAAGTGTTTTATATTATTTAAAATAAAGAATATTGAAGAGATAATCAAATAGTAATTTAATTTATCTTATAGAAAACACTCGGTAGTAGGGAAGTGAACTGAATTCGCCAGGGAATAAGAAATCAATCCAAACTCTTTCAACTAAAGTCTACTATTTTACATTAGAAAGAACCTACAAAAATAAAACTTTTACAACATTTTGTTAGTGTAGTAGAGTGGTTATTTCCCTATAGTCCTCTTTGCAAAGCTATATAGTCTTAAAATATATTATTTTTAATTTTAAAAGTGGGAACTATTATTAAAAGCCTTGCAGAGTGTGATTTTCATGATTTTTGCTATCACCAAGATAGCTAGATTAGGTGATTATTATGTACAAATGATTCTTATAAATATTCCTCTCCTAATAATTAAAGCCCAATCTTATTGGAATATAGAGGGGAAAATTTATTAAAGAGTCTTATTGTTCTTAGACTTAAACTGTCAAAGGCAAGGGGCTTCTTATTTATTTTAATAAGTAGTCAATATATTTCTAAAATTCTAATTTGCTTTTGTATGTATTCCTATTCACATAAAATGTAATGCATAATTTAGAACTCACTTGAAAGTAGAGTAGAAATTTTCAGTAACAAATAATGCTTTGTTTTCCAATGCAAAAACATGAGATGATTAAATAAAAGATAGATTCAATCACAATGCAAAATTTTTTGTTATGAAAATAATAACTTAAACAGTAAGAGACAGGTCTCTAGGTCAAAAGGGTAAGGAGTATGTCTTGGGGCTATGATTTCATAGCAAAACACCAATTTTAGTTTGTATGTTTATTTTTAAGGGATATCGAATGTTATTTATTTATCAATATTTCACATTAAGTTCAGACTTTTTTATCAGTCGTTGTTAACAGTACTAATCTTTACTTTTAAAGGATGTTTTACAGATACATAAAAAGAGTTCTATAATATGTTTTAGAGTTCAATAAGTCACATAAATGTTTGAATGTTTAAGTATAGACATAAGTATTATTTTGGAGAATTGTCTGAAAGTTTAAGAAAGCATTTTGTTTTTTTACTATAAAACAACTTGAAAGGCAACAAACCCCTTATCAATAAAGGCCCAAGAAAAAACTCCCAATCTAAAAAAGGTCCTAGCATTGCCTCAGTAGTGCCAGATGGTAATTTATAATGCCAATTTCTCATATTATGTTAATAAATTAAAAATTTATGTTGGAATATTTAAGGCAACTACTAAAACATAATAAAAGCATGCATAAGTTAAAAGTGGAGACAAAATGAATAGCAGTAAAAATATTAATACAAAGTAAGCCAAGAAAAAAGAGTAAAAGTAACATGAAGGAGGCCCAAAAAATAGAAAACAGATATATATATGCTATATATAAACCCATTATATTGATAATTACATTAAATATAATTGGACCAAATATCTAAATAAAAGTCTAACACCGTCATACAGAACAAAACAAACAAACCAAACAAAAATTTATATGTTGCTTAAAAGAGACACATTTTAAATATTAGGCCATAGAAAGTTTTAAAGTGAAAGCAGGAAAATCACATACCATGCAAATAATTACCAAAAGAAAGCTGGCATATATGGATGAAAGCTGATAATACACACTTTAAAGTAATAAGCATTACTAGAGACAATAACCGTGGAGAGGTCAGTCTATTTTGAAGATACAACAATAATAAAATTAATACCTAATAATGTGATTTCTATTTATATAAAGCAAAAATTGACAAAAAGAAAAAAATATAAATAAATATAAATATATCTACTCCATCAGAGTGGAGGATTTTAACAGGCCTCTCTCAGGAATTGACAGAATGAACATAAACTAATTAGTAAACTAGAGAAGACAAACTGGCCTATTTCATATATAGAACATTCCACCTACTAGTGAATTACTGCTAAATACACACTCACACATCAACAAAAGTAAAATAACGTTTAGGTGATCAAGGAACCCCACTTCTCATTTTCACTGACACTGTGTCTATACTGAGAGCTCTGCATCCAAAATATGCTCTCATAGATCTCCTATATGTGTATTCTAACTTCATCCGCAGAGGGGATCTTCTATTGAATTTGTTGTAGTAAGAACGAATCAATCCTTATATAGGATTGGTAAGTATTGTACAAATCTCTCAACAATAAATTCTCTTACATATTTGATAATATTCACTCCCTGAATATCCTGGAACTGCCATCAGACTTTATTGCCCTTCATCTTGAGCACACTTGTTACCTGATTTTCCAGTGTTTTAGATACATGGGAACAGTAATTATGCGGACAGGTATATGGGTGATAATTCACAAAATGGCACTAAAAACTGTGCCCAAAAATTATAAATTAATTTTAGGTTTAAATTCTGTATTTTTAAGATGTTAACAAGAAAACTAATGTTTATGCATGTATAAAGTCTATATGTGAAGGAAATTTTTCAGCTAGAATCAATAATTTTCTATTTATACAATGTATATTCAAAATGGCTAATAAAGGCAAAGATTCTAAATATTTAACGTTAGAAGTCTAATAAAAAAATTAAAGATCTCTCCAAGTATGAAGGAGTATACAATGATTAACTACAACATGCTGGGTAAATAATTTTTTCATACTGCACTTTATGTTTACATTTGTTGCTGAATATTTACTTAAGGTACAAAGAACTTATTATCCGCAAAAAGAAAATAAGTTGTTTTTACTATTTCCTTTCTTGTAGTGTCACTGAATGAATTTATTATTAACAGTAAAAACTAAATTTTCTTTTTAAACATTAAATAGACAGGTTTCTTGCCACAAATTGAAAATGCACATTGTCAATTGTTTACTTTTCTTTATTAAATAAACCATTTCTTTAGAAACATACCCCTAAATACCTAATTAGATTTCCTAATAGCATGAGAAACCATCATGGGGATAATGTACAAGAATTGTTTCATCAGCAAAATTAAAGGGGGAAACCACCTAATACTTTTTTTTGGTTTTGTTTTGCTTTGTAATTTAAACTTCAATGGCTTTTATTCATATTTTTTAATATGGCAAATCATTCTCTCTAGAGCTTACATTAATGGGCAGAGGACCAAATTACAAGAGTAGGTTAATTTGTGCCCAAGCATTTCATATTAATTAAATAGATTTTTCAGATATTAGGGAATATATGCTCTTCCTAAGTTATTCTTTCTCAATTCTTAGTAAAATAAGAAGACCGATTGACTCAATTGTTTCCTCTAAACACCACACTAGATGTAAGTATGAGCAACTTCAAGTACTGTAAATATTTACAGAGAGGTTCTTGGGATAGAATGAGAGAGAGAAAGATGAAGAGATAGAGACAGAAAGGAGGTATTATAAATATAATGAGATGAGAAAAAATTACAAAGCTTATTTAAAGAATGTTTTTGCAATACTTCCATATGGAAGTGAAGAAAATTTCATCATGTGCAAATTGTTTAATTATAAATAAAATTGTTAATTTTATTTAAAAACTAGAAACATGCATCTACATTATAGTTGACATATCATATAAACCACAGTGCACATCTCTGTTTTCTTCATTATCAGCTACCAAAATAGTTTTGTTCACATACATAAGCTGTTTAATAAAATGAAGACAAGGTGGGGGTGGGTGGCAATGTGGAAAAAAAGAGAACGAAAAAATGGATGAGCTTGCTTGTGAACTCCCTGCAACTGTACACAACAGAATATTCTCTCTACAGCACATTAAGACAAAATATTTATGTTAATATATGGATACTCACTTATGTTCCTAAACAATACCTTAAAACTGTATACGATAGAAAGATCCCATCAGTGTTTGGCTCAATTTAATTGAACTACAAAATGAGCCTGTATCACGTTAGTATTGATTGTTTTTGTTGAAAGTTAGCATAAAATTATGTATTTAAGTTTTGCTTATAAATACTTTTAATTCCTCACAATTGGACGCCTATTGAATGGAGCAATGGGCCTGGCATAAGGAGAGACGAGGATTTGAGATTTTTTTTTTTTTTTGAGATGGAGTCTTGCTCTGTCGCCCAGGCTGGAGTGCAGTGGCACAATCTGGGCTCACTGCAAACTCCGCCTCCCAGGTTCAAGTGATTCTCCTGCCTCAGCCTCCAGAGTAGCTGGGATTACAGGCACGCACCACCACTCCCATCTAACCTTTGTGTTTTTAGTACAGACAGGGTTTCGCCATGTTGGTCAGGCTGGTCTTGAACTCCTGACCTCGTGATCCACCTGCTTCAGCCTCCCAAAGTGCTGGGGTTAGAGGCATGTGCCACCGCGCCTGGCTGGATTTGAGTATTTCTTATGGCACTCTTCTTCCCATAGAGAAAGGTGGTTATTAATGCAAGAATAGTCAGAAAAAGTACACAATTTTTCAGAGTGTGCAATATTAATTCAAATTGCAATTTATCAAAAGCTGAAAGATTTAGTATAAAATTATTGTAACACAAATTACAACTTATTGTGTTCGTACCTGGAACCAATCGAGTTTGTTAATTCTGTTTTTTCGTTTCGTTTTGTTTTTTTTAAGATGGGCTCTCACTCTGTCACTCAGGCTGGAGTGCAATGGCTGGATCTCGGCTCACTGCAACCTCCATCTCCCTGGTTCAGGTGATTCTTCCACCTCAGCCTACCGAGTAGTTGGGATTACATGCACATGCCACCATGCCTAGCTACTTTTTGTATTTTTAGTAGATAAAGGGTTTCACCATGTTCGCTAGTCTGGTCTCAAACTCCTGACCTCAAATCATCTGCTTGCCTTGGCCTTTCAGAGTGTTGGGATTACAAGCGTGAGCCACCGCACCAGCTGAATTTGTTAATTCTTTTAAGTTAACTTGTTGCTGAGTTATTAAAATGCTAAACCAATAAGACTCATTAACTGCAAACCCATACAGACACACCACACACAATGAAAGTACATCGTTTTAGTTTAAGAGCTGGTTTGGCTTATAGTTAGTATACTAGTTTATTGTCTCTCATTATAGAACTTTTTCTCCCTCAATTTATTCACAGGCACCAAATGTAATTTTTCACTATGCAAATCTCTCTCTTTCTACCCCCCATACTTCCTTATCCATCATTTATCAATAGTACCTATCTGAACGATTGAGATAAAATATGAAATATAATATGTGTATTTCCTCAAACAGGTAATAACTTTAAGTAGGTTTCTGTTGCTTCAATAATCTTTTTGTCACCACCAACCAGAAAATGGTTTGAGAGAGGAGAAGGTTTCCTTTGAAAACAATGCCCTTAAGAATGTAATCTCTGAATACTTCCTTGTCTTGTTCGTTAAGTATGTCACTTTTGACCACCATGAGCTTGTCCACTGATGATGCAAGTGTGCAGCTGCTTTGGTTTGGATACTTGACCTCTCCAAATCTCAAGTTGAAATTTAATCCCCAGTGTTGGAAGTGGGGATATAAGGGGGGTGTTTGGGTCCTGGGGGTGGATCCTTCATGAATAGATTAATGCCCTTGTGTTGGGGGATGAGTTCTCACTTTATTAGCTGTTTTTTTTTTTTTAAACCTAGCACCTTCCAACCCCCACCAACTTCTTCCCTTCCCATGTGATGTCCACATGAGCTGTCTCTGCTTTGCCTTGCACCATGAGTGGAAACAGCCTGCAGCCCTCATCAAAAGCAGATGCTGGTGCCATGCTTCTTATACAGCCTGCAGAGCCGTGAGCCAAGTAAACCTGTTTCATAGTCAGTCTCAGGTATTTCCTTATAGCAACACAGACTTAGAAAGAAGCTCATCATGATTCTAGCTAACTGGAGGTCTGAGAAGCATGAGCCATGGAAGATGAAGTAAATCACAACAAAGGCAAGTAACCGCAGTAAGTTTGGTTTAGATTTCAAGCACTTAGTCTGTTTTTGTGCACTATTTTTTAGCACACAGGTCCTACTTTTAAGACAAAATTTTGATTCTCTTCATTTGGTGTAAATCAATACAGGACAAGATTTTATGTTATTAACACAATTTCATTGCCTGAGTCCATATTTCAATCTGACATTTGGAAGTCCTTTTCTTCCATATCCACTAGTCCTATCTATTTATCCTTTCTTGCTCCTATTTCTTAAAATGTTTACTACAGATTGAACATGCCTCATCTAAATATTCAAAAATCTGAAATGCTCCAAAATTTGAAACTTTTGAGCACTGACATAATGCCACAAGTGAAAAATTAAACTTGGCTCCATGTGGTAAGTTATAGTTAAAACACAAGTGGACAACACACAATTTTTTCAGAGTCCCCAAGGGAAAATAAAATTACCTTCAGGTTATGTTTAAATGAACATGTATATGAAATATAAATAAAATTTCATGTTTAGATTTGGAAGCTATTCCCAAGATATCTCATTATTGTAGTGATTAGTCCCCAACCAGGTGCTATGTCCACTGCCTAAACCCTGAAGGCCAGGACATAAGCCAAAGTCATGTGGCCCAGCCAAGGAGCAAGTTTCCTTGAGAAACCAAATATTCTGGAGAATATCTGAGAACCTACCAGGAAAGACAGTTTCATTGCTTAGACATAGTAGGCAAAGAGCCAGAAAATTAGCTTAAAAGTTGTTTAAAGACAAAGGTTAGCATGGATCTCTAAAGCTGTTTTGCTGCCACCCAGGAGTGCCTCATATGTATGTCCTAATAAACTCATCTGTTTGCCAAGCTGGACTTGTCTGAGTTACTCTTTGGTCTTTTGGCTTCCTCTCAGTTTAGGAGAAGGTTTTTAAATATGATTCTTGGTTGTTATAATTATATATATATGTGTGTGTGTGTGTGTGTGCACGCGTGTGTGTGTGTCAATATTTCAAAATAAAAAAGTTCAAAACATGAAACAAGGAATAAGTGAAACACAACAAGCTCTAAAGTGAGACCTCTCTAAGCTGAATCATATCATCCCATAATCTCTTCAGCCCTACTTTTAACTTGCATTTTCCTCATTTTCAAATTTTGGATTGTCCTTCTAATACAGATTATGCTGTAAAATCAAGATGGATTAATCCATATGATTTTGACATATTGAGCTGCTGATATATAGATATGAAACAGTTACCATAATCTCCAGAAAGTAATGCTAACTGCAGTCAAGCAAGCAATAGTGTTATGATAATGTCATGTAACTCATTTGAAGCAGCAATGTAGCCAATGAGTAAAAAACGACAACTTTGATTTTCTGCAGATAAATTTAAAAAGATTTTATTCCTCTACCAAAAATGGATTGATAATCATTTTATATGTTTCATTCAACTGTAAGAAAAATGAATTGCAGCACAGTAAGGAAACAAAGGTAGAACATACTCAAAATTGCTAAGATAACACAAGAAGGAATAATGAAAAGGCCTTATGTTGTTGAATATATCTAGTTACATGGGCCGGTCAATACATTGGGAGCCAGAAAGCTCAATAATATTATGTACCAAGAAAGAAAACTAGGTGGAAATATTTGAAAAGCAGCAATAATTACTGAAAAAGTCTATTCCTCCAATTAGTAAATATTCTATTAAACTTCATTAACACGTGGTAAGTACACTCACTTATTTCCCAAGAGACATTCAAAGTGCCCTATTTAGTAACAATATCAAGGTCAAAATTCCACATTTCTGAGTGATGCATGGTAGTCTGTATGTCAGACTCTAATGTTTATTTTTATATGAAAATCTATAAACTAAAGGACAAGTTTTAATTTATAAATTTATAACCTAAAAATCTAATACATCATGCTAAAATATAGTCAGAGTAACCATATATATTTTTTGTTTAGTAAGGAGAAGAATGAGAGAGCAACAAGTTACTGGTTCACAGCAATTTTGAAATCCAATTGCACACTTGAGGAATTAGGCCTTTGTTCTTTAGGAGGGTGTCTTATCCATCGTTTTTCATGGCTTTCAGTTCTACTCTTTGAGAGGCTCCCTCTATTTTATTAACTTCCCTGGCTCAATCTGAAATAAGTATTGAAGAATATGTTCCCCTGGAAGGACAAGGAGCTTTCTTAGACTGCTTCCAGTAAATTAATCTCTTTTCCCTGAAATATTTGTCTAAATGAAAAGATTTACTGAGGGCATCATTAATTTATTCAAGGTTTAATAGTGGGCATGATAACTAACCTCTTTATTTGATCTTTGCCATATGATGATTCAAATAGGTTTTTGTTACTCAGTGGTCACTGCCATTGCATTTTTAGTGGGTGAGTATAAGTAGTAATTATTTTACAAAGCTAAAAAAGATACAGTTCTTTACTTTGTTTTCTCACTTTTCTGCTTGCAAACTAGGTGATCTTTTCTTATGACATTTTATTGTTCTTGTAGTACTTTGTCAATGCTTCCAATATTAACCAATACATGCTACTATCCCAGTATTTTCCCAACTCTTCTCCTATAGTGTAACATTATATGTGTGTAGTGTGTAATCATATATATCACTCGATGAATTATCTGCCTTGCAAGTCATCACAGTCTACAGTTTTATCAAATGTTTTGCCGCTGCCTAAGATAATAATACTAATTGAATTTTCATCTTTCTGCCATTCAGTGTCAGTTGCTCTACCACCTCCAGCCTGACTTTTAGGGCAGTGCCACACATTTTAGGGTCTTTTTTTTAATTGTAGCACCTTATTTCTAGGCATCAATTTGTATATAGATCAGGATAGACTAAATTATATTGCAATAAAAAACAACCTGTAATATTCACGTTTTAAAAGAATATATATCATTTTCTTTTTTATGCTATGTATTTTCCAAATCACCAAGATCATCTTACTCAACATATTTCTATAAGTATCCAGACTAATGGACAATAATCATCTTCTATATTTCTCATTTTCGTGTCAGAGTAGAAATATTGCTTTGGAGGTCCTGTGCAAACAATTGAATGCTCCAGTTTGAAAGCTACACTAGAAACTCATTGATCAGAACTGGTTATATAGCCTTACTCAACTACCAGAGAGGTAGAAAGTACAAATCTACTAAAAGCCTAGAAATGGGAAGAAATGGAAATAATTGGCAAAAACTCAGCTTTCTAGAGTTTTAACAACGTTAAATTATGCCATTTATCTACTCACTATTTTTCTCCCAGCCCAAAGCAAATTCGTTTTTTAGTGTAAGGTTTTTTTTGCTTTGTTTTGTTTTCAGATTACTTTTACAAATAAAGTTCTTTTATTAATTTAAGAATTATTAAATTTCTAATTTAAATTCAATCTTCTAATTCCATGTAAGTTAACTATCATCTCCTTTTTCATTTCAATCCAAATCCAATGCAACTGAGTAACAAATTTAAAAATTTTAATGGCAAATATGTCACTGTATATAAAGTAAGAGGTGAGGATTAATATTAAATTTGTAGAGTGTCATGTCAGGCCTTTGGAACACAACGATAAAATATGGTTTGTAGATTGGATTTATCTCATATCTGGAGATCAAAACAAGTGTTTCATTACTGACATTCTAGAAACTACTTCATGAATAAAAACAACAGCTACATTTTTTTCAACTAAGAGAAGCATTATGTCTTAACTAATATTATCACCTGATACACCTGTGAACGCTGTTTTAGATATAATCCTGGCTCTACAAGATCTAGAGATACAGCATTATTGCAGATAACATCTAACCCCATCTGTTGAGGCCTAACATTATTTTTCTTGTTGCTACTATACACAGTATGATAAAATCAAATATGTTTTCTAACATCATCATAATGTATTAAAGGCAATCTAAGTAATCAGAATAAGAAGAAGTAAGACAGAGTGAGTCACCAATATCCCAAACCACTTCAAATTGACCGCAAAGATTATATTTTAATTTTACATTGAGTTTCTGGACAATTTTTTTTACTCAAAGAAGTTAGTAAAGAAATCATTCCTAAATAGACATAATAGTAAAATGTCTAAAAATTGGTAGAAGAAAACATGTGATATTTAGCACTTTTAAGAAATTTATTACCAAAGCATGTATGCATAATCTATGGTACTATTTAAACAATTTTATTTTTTTCTTGGTGAGTTTCCAGTGCTGCTTTTAGGGAGCTGCCTTTTTGATTGAGAATGGAAGAGTATAGCATTATGTTTTATTCCACAATCAGTTGCTTTAACAAGAAGAGTTCACAGTAAAGCTTTCTTTTGTTCAATTAAGCTTATTGGAACAATCACGTAGGCATCTTAGACATTCCTATTAAATACAGCATTTTGCCACAGAATAAATGTATACCAGTTATAATGCAGAAGGGAGGGAGGGGAAAATCCACATGTGGCGTTTAAAATATCAGACACTATATCCTTTAGAGTTGAAGAGACAATATTTTCTAGTAGAAATCAATTTCTTTTCAGGGAAGCGCTTCGGAAAATTCTGGATCTCATCTCATCTTTTAATAAAAATGGAGAAAATGGTAAAGCTTGAACTGAAAAAAACACAAGAGTTAAAAACCAAACATGAAATTGGGAGATGGGAAGAGTTTGTATAGCTGTTTACTAGCTGTTTGACCCAGGGAAATTTTTTCTATCTGAACCTCCGTTTCTTTCGCTATAAATTGAAGATAATAATACCCATGTCGAAAAATTTTATAAGGATTATTACTTGAAACTACCTGGAAACACCCCGGGTAAAGTCCATAAAAAAATATGTACAAATGTTATTCCACCTTCTTCCCCCAGACTTTCACCTATAGCTACAAAATAATACGATGGATGATTCCCTATATTCTACCAATATTTTTTGACAATATGAAGTGTTGAGAATGGCCCAGAAACTGTTTGCATGATAAAATATTGTCTTAAGTAATCACTGCAATAGCCTTTCCAATTTCATTTAACAGAGTCTAAGAATATTCTGAACCATAAAGTATCATCATATATCTTGACTGGGATTATAATACAATGCCAGAAAAAAATTACACACATGCTTAAAATTTGTTACAATTATGTATGTACATATATCATGTGTTCATTTACACATGTGCATAAAGTTATGTGCGTGTGTGGGTGTACATACATGCACACATGTACACACAGATTTGCAAAACTTAAGGTAATAGTACATTAAAATGCAAACTGGAATGAAGTGGCTGGGTTTGAATGTCTGCCTTTTAATAGTTTCATTACTTCAGGGAAGTTATTTAAACTCTTCATCCTTTAGTGTATTTATTGGTAAAATGGGAAAAACTATAGTACCTATTTCACATGAGTGTTAGATTTAAGACTGGAGAAATTAATATGTTTTAAGTGCTTAAAACAGTGGGCAGCACACTGTAAGAATATGTAAAATTGATAAACATCCTTTACAAATTAGGTCATAATGTTAGGTAACTTGTTTATTAGCTTTTTTGCTAAATATGTCACAACATGAAAACATCACTAGTTTTTCCCACAACATTATTTTGATGGTAGAATAATATTTATTATACTGCAGTGTACCTAGCAATACCTTCTGGTTGGATGTATAGCCCATAAAATTTTTATTACTTAAATAATGTGATTTCTATAACTCACTTTTTGTATATATTTATTATAGATATAAAGAGATAAACTGCAAAACTTCTGGATCAAATGACATATACATTTTAAAATGTTGATATACTTTGCCAAATTTCACTATCTAAAGACAGTATCAATTTGCGCTCTCAACACCTATATGAGAGTATATTTTTGTATAGAAGCTATGCACACTAGTATTAGAGTTTAAGTACTGAGCACGTTCTGGGCTGTGTTAATAAAATAATACCTTAAAATTTAAAAAATCATACCTACAAAACTATATAACTATTGGGAGAATAATTGCTGAAATTTTAGCAGTTGTTTTCCTGGGATAGTGTGATGAAAAGAAATGTCTAGTATTTTCTTTTCCTTTATTTTCCATTTTTAACATTGTGCCATTTTTTAATAACATGACATAAAGTGCAGACTCAAGTTTTGTTTAATGTTGCAGGAATCAAGTAATACATGATGGTCGTATTTGATGATATTATCTGTGTCCTCAATCCATGATTTTCTTGTAATTTTTATAATTAGTCCCTAAATACCTGAAGTGGCATCATCAAGAGAGTGGCATGCTTCAGATGTTCTCATTGTCATTTTTTATGCATTTTAAAATTATGCTGGTTAATTTGATATTTGCTTTTTAGGTTTCTTTTATTTTGGATGTGTATTTTGTCCTTTGTTTCCTCATGAAATTTTTTTCAAAGCCTGATTTATTAATATTCCTTCAAATTAATTAAATTTACAAGCATCTTGCTGTTACTGAGGTAGGCTACATAAATTCTATTGGCTAAAAAATACTTCTCTAATTATTAATTAATACAGGCTGGCATGTCTTGTACTGAGTTGACTTCCTTTGTTGATCTCATTTTTCTTCAGCCAGTTCTGATGCCTTTGGTCTCTTTTCTGCTCCTATACCTGGTAATTTCTGAGTTATGTTCTGGTGAAAAGGGGTAAGGACTCCATAAAACACTTCTCACCTCAGCATATTTTCCTGGTATATAGTAGACATTTAAAAAGTATTTGTAGGCCAATAAACAACATAAAACTTGAAAATATAAGATACATGTATTTAAGATGGATTATGAGAAAAGAGAAGACACATAGGTTGACTTTTGATATTTATGTTTACTTTTTATTTTAACATATCAGTATTACTTTCCTTAGTTGCTATCTTGAAACATTCCCTGCATCAGTAAGCTTTTGCTAGGTAACAAACAACTCCACATTTTATCGGCTTAGAACAACTAGTTATTTATGTTATATTTATTTAAGTTTGCTACCCTGGCTAATTTCTGCTGGACTCTGCCGTGCATCTGGCAAGTCAGATATTGGCTGGAGGATCCACAAGTGCCTAGCTCACATATTGGGAAGTTGGCAGAATGTTGGTGCAGGTGATAGAAATAACTGAGCCATGTGTTTTCTTCATTCTACAGAGCAGGCTGGGCTACAAATAGCAGCAGATTTCCAAGGGAAAGGAGAAACTGCAGGGCTTTCTGAGGCCTATGCTGAGAACTCACACAGTGTCACTTCCTCCATACTCTATCAGGTAAATGATCCCCAGGTCAGCCCAGATTCAAGGAGCAGGGAAAGAGACCTTACTTATTGATGAGAGATACTGCAAAGTATCATGACTATTTTGCAATCTACAAACTACCATGTTCCCCATTTAATCTTTTGTGCTTATCTATTTTTGTTTATGTGTTAAAAACCATTTGTGAAATCTTATCTTGTAGGAACAGGAATTTTGTCTTTTTCCTTACTTCCATCTTTATTCTTTCTTCATTAATTTAATCTATGAGTTTTAAATCTTTTAAAATTCCCTGCTGACTTCCTTTTTATAGTAAAAATTTATTATATGACCTTTTTATAGCAATAATTATATCCATTTTTTAAGCTTATAAGCAACAATCCATATTTCATTAGTAGTCGGTCATTTTATTTACTTACCGAAATATCAACATGATCTCCTAATAATCAGTAAAAATAAAATGGCTATAAATTTCTTCTTTTAAAGGGCACCTCTCAGGTATCTGAAGCTTGAAGATAAAATCTTAAACTAATGAACTTTCTGAGACAGACCTAAGAAGGCTTCTCTCTTGTGTTTGAATATGAATGACGGATAACTAGGTATAATAGTTGATTATTTTAAGCAAAATTGTTCTAATGTTTCTTTGGAAGTAATTACTGGCAAAAAGAATTTCAATTCAAAAATAATTCCAAAGTAATTCCAAATTACTTTGAATATAATATTGTAATGATGATGAATATCACTATATATCTATGTGTCAACACAAATATCTTTTTATTGTTGCTACTGTGTATTTGCAGATTTATAGGATTATCTATTACGAGATGAAGTGCTTTTTCATATTATAAAATGTTTTAGTGTTTATTTCTGCTAATTCACATTTAACATTGATGCTTATATGTTTAACTGGTTTTGGGAATGAAAATATATCAATGACTTCATTCTCTGTTTCAGCCTTAGAATTTTCAGCCTTTATGTGTAGCTTATAGATGACATACTTGCCCTGGTGGTTCTGTGACAATTCATACTAACAGACATTTTTTAACAAAAATCTTCTCTATATATTAATTTTCAAAGGTGTTCTAATTTTTTTGTTTCAATATTTCCTTCTCCCTGTCTTAAGTATACCAGTCTCACATTTCATTGATTCGTTTCTATTTCTCTCCCTCTCCCTTTCTTTCTTTGCCTCTCTCTCTCTCTTTCTCTCTCTCTCTCTCTCTCTCTCTCTGTGTGTGTGTGTGTGTGTGTGTATGTTTACATGAATTCCGGCTTGAGTACTTCACTGCGTGTATTCATTTAACTTAAAGTAATGTGTTTAAGACATCTCTCTATATAGACTCTCTGTTATTGATGTCTAGCCCAAACATGAGGTAGTCTAATCAGTCCTCTACACATAACATGTATTTCTTTCTGTGTTAGGCACTTGTATGTGTTATCTGAACTATGATGTCATCAGGAATAGTATTTTTGAAAACAAAAAATACACCATGTTACAGTTTTCTTTTGCATTGCCATGTCATTGGACAACTCTATTATTCTCCCCTGGTTTAACTTTGGTGGAATGAAATGTCAGCAGAAAAATATTTTGTTGGTTTTTATTTCCCAAAGTACACATTAAGTTTGTTTTTAAGAAACTGCAGCATGATATTGTTTCAATTCATCCATAAAACAAATGACTCTTAAACATTCCATAAGATAAAGTGAAAAGCAATATCTGTTGTTTTTTCTCCAGTATCATATGATATTTTACTACATAAGCAGAAGAATTAAGTTTTATATTCACAATATGGTGAAAATCCTTCTGAAATAATTATCATTTATGGATTTAATTTCCTAGGGTAGATGGCTTATGTATCTCAATAAGTGTCCATGTGTCTGTCTGTGCTTAATGAAGAAAACTTGCAAGTGAAAGTTGTAACAAATGCTCATTAAGAATGAACACTGTAACTATAGAACCAGTTTGGCTTCAACCCTATTTGATGTGAGCAATCCACATACATAAGAGCTTAAAATATCAATGTTAGTATATGTGACTCTTCCACTTATGTGGCTCTAATGGCCAAAAGTTTGCTGCATTTATTATGACTGTTGTATTTGGGAAACAATTTTACCAGCTATCGCAGGTAAATAATTTAATTTCTGTACATTGGGCTATGTATATGCATGATAATACTATTGGTTAAAATTTTAAGAAGCATCTTGACTAATGGAAAACTAACACATGGTTTTGATTTTTTTAAATTTTACTTAAAGTTCTGGGATACATATGCAGAATGTGCAGGATTGTTACATATGTATACATTTGCCATGGTGGTTTGCTACACCTATCAATTCATCATCTAGGTTTTAAACCCTGCATGCATTAGTTATTTGTCCTAATGCTCCCCCTCCCCTTGCCCCCCAAGCCCCCGCAGGCCCTGGTGTGTGATGTTCCCCTCCTGTGTCCATGTGTTCTCATTGTTCAACTCCCACTTATGAGTGAGAACATAATATATGGTTTTGAATAGGCAGTAAGATCTGGTTGGATTTCCATCTCCACTATTTTTACCTTACATATATAAGGTAGATTGTCTAAGTTTGAGTTTTCAGATCTGTGAAACAGGGTTAGTAAGATCGAATTTATAGGACTGTTGAGAAATGTAATGAATTTATATGTTTAAAATGCCTTGTTCTTAGACGCTACTAAATCATACTAGTTTCCATTTTGTCTTCCCCTGTCATCAACTATTAAAATAATTGTGTAGAGTATTTGTTATTGCAACATATTGGTGCAGTAATTTTTTTTCCATAATGTGCAAAGGTGAGGTCTATAGAACTTTTCTCAATTTTTCCCCTATAACCCAGTTTTATATATATATATATATATATAGGAATTTAAGCCGAAAATTTTGTCAAGGAGAAACCAGGTAAACTGTATAATACATTTGCATATAGCAGCTAGGTTTGGTGGCTCACACCTGTAATCCCAGCACTTTGGGAGGCTGAGGTGGGCAGATCATGAGATCAGGAGATCAAGACCATCCTGGCCAAAATGGTGAAAGTCCGTCTCTACTAAAAATGCAAAAATTTGCTGGGCATGGTGGCACGTGCCTGTAGTCCCAGCTACTAGGGAGGCTGAGGCAAGAGAATCGCTTGAACCCGGTAGGCGGAGGTTGCAGTGAGCCAAGATCGCACCACTGCACTCCATCTTGGAGACAGAACGAGAGTCCATCTCATTAAAAAAAAAAAAAATTGCCTATAGCAAACTAGGCTTTGTGTTTAAAAAGTCTTTTTTTAAAACAGAAAAATGAACTAGGAACTAAATATTTCTTGAAAGTATTTCTTAAAGTAATTTTCATGTGCCAAATTTTATTATGAAATATTAACATTGTGCTAGGCACTGATCTGGGTATTGCTTTGTAAACTGAAAAGTATACTCACGCCTAAAGGCATATGTGAGAGTTTTTTCTTCACTTGTAAATACATATATGAGTTATATATAATATGAATACAAAAAAACAAAACATAATTCCCTTTTAACACATGTATAAAACACACACACACACACACACAAACACACACACACACACACACACATATAAAGGGACATCCAGCATGGGTGTTTATTATATAGCAGATAACCTAGTTGAAGGACAATTTGGCTCTGTAGTCCTGTAATTTTTTTGTGTTTGGTTACTTATGAAATGAGGCCTGATTTGCCACCTGAATGCCATCCATAGACATTTACTGGTATGTAAGATTTTTCTTGATGTTTCAGCTTCCTATTTCAGATTTCTCTCTAAAAATGTTCCTATGTATATGGTACCTCAAATGCTTTGTGCCATTAGCCTATCCTGAACTTTCCTGCATCTATAATTTTATTCATGTATACCTCTTTCTAGATTACCCTACATTATTTTATTTTTAATATGACCAACTCTGCCCCTTTTTGAGGCACAGCCCCAATTTTTTATGAAAGCGCTGAGCCCCTGAATTAATATGAATGTAACTAACATCTTTTTGCATCAACTAGATACTTGGATCTTGCATTAAGCTCATTTAATCCTTAAAACAATTCTGTAGAACACAAATTTTCCTCATTTTATTGATTAAAAACTCTAAGTCTCAGAGATGTAAGAAAACTGACTTCAGTATAGAGTGACAAATACTGATTGCAATCAAATTTTATATGACCTTATTTTTTGTTCCTTCTCTTATTCTTCATTTATTTCCAGGAAATACCACCTAACTTAATGCCTGTATTGGGACTTAGTAATCTTTCATTCTGTTATCTATAATGCCTATTTTATCATGCCACTAAAATGTAAATTATTTAAAGATAGCAATTGTATATTATTCATCCAATAGAAGGTAAAGAAAATACACTGAAAGAATAAAGAAACCTAAAAATTACCACAAATTTTGAGATAGGCACAGGCAAAAAGAATAAAATAGGCAACATTCGTTTCAGATTTCTGCCGGCTCTATAAAATAACCAATAATCAAGGATTGCTGACATAGAAGAAAAAAACAAAGGAATATTCTAAAAATAGAATCATACAATGTAGTTTGAAAATGTGTCGGCATCATTTCAACAAATAAGTCTGTAAATACACCTCTAGATGCTAAATACATCAGAGAATAGCAACAGAAAATGATCAGCTGTCTACAAAGCTCAAAGTACAAAGCAGAGCAGAGAGAAGAAAAACTGTTTGATTCAACAAACATTAATGCAAGCTACACTGCTGCTGCTGTTGTTGTTTGATTTAGAGGAGTACAGAGAGCTGCAAGTGTTCCTTGTGTTTTTATTGCTTAATTTGTTATTGGTCCTAATCTTCTAAAAGATTTAAGGGTGATTCTCTGTTGCTATTTGCCTGGAGCAGATCTGTAACTTTTGGGAAGTGTTCTGTGAACAGATCTTATGTCTTGTTTTTTTTTTCTCCTACTGCATTTGCTGAAATGTTTCTCCTGCTTCTCTGTTGGCTCTGACTTTAATTTTCATGTGTGCGCAATTTAATTATTTTGATGATTTCCATTAAAAGCCTGAGAATCTTTTTAAGGACTGATTTGAAGAAAATAAGAGATTTAAGCCTAATAAATTTACTCTTTGAAGTCAGAAACCACTACTCCTATTTTCAAGAATCTTTATTTCATGTTTTAGGTCTCAAAACACCTCACACATATAAGTTGGATACATAAAATACAATTCTGTTTCAAGCTTATTCACCAGTGGTTAACTAAACCTTGTTTGGTACCAGAAATCATTCCCCTTCTCACCCTTGGTATAACTTGAATAGCCATACCTGGCTGTTGACTTGAGTACAAATTAGTTAAACCATTAGAGAAAGCAGTGTGGTGACTCCACAAAGAGCTAAATGCAGAATTACCATTTGACTCAGCAATCCCATTACTGGGTATATACCCAAAGAATTATGAATATTCTACAATAAAGACACATGAACACAAATGTTCATTGTATCACTATTCGCAATAGCAAATATGTGGAATCAACCTAAATGCCCATCAGTGACAGACTGGAAAAAGAAAATGTTGTACATATACACCATGGAATATTATGCAGCCATAAAAAGGATGGAATCATGTCTTTTGTGGGAACATGGATGGAGCTGGAGGCTCTTATCCTTAGGAAACTAACACAGAAACAGAAAACCAAATACTGAGTGTTCTCATTTATAAGTGGGAGTTAAATGATGAGAACTCATGAACATGAAGAAGGGAACAACAGATCCTGGGGTCTACTTGAGGGTGGAGGATAGAAGGAGGGAGAGAAACAAAGAAGATATTTACTGAGTACTGAGCTTAATATCTGGTTGATGAAATAATCTATAAAACAAACCCTCATGACACGAGTTTACCAATGTAACAAACCTTCACAGGTACCCCTAGTTCAAAAATAAAAGTTCTTTTTTTAATGAGTTCAAATATAAATTATTTTAAACAAAGATGGAGTAAAAGGGAGAAGATCTGTCCTCCCTTCTGAAAAAACAAAAATAGAAACATATGAAACAATGGTTTTAAAACATTGAATATGTCTCTGAGAGATGGGAAATAAAATAGTTAAGCTCTCAATAATTAGAACATTTAATATGACGAGAAGAATTTTTAGGCTGCAGTACAGAGAAGTCCAACAGACTCTGAATTGAGGAGGTGAAGCTGAGCATCTAGAGAGATTAAAGCTGTTCAAATATGGAGGTGGTAATTTCACAGAGGTAACACTGGAGATCTGCTTATGTAACTTTCAAGCATTCAGCCAAGAATTGAGTTTACTTCACAGCTGAGGGTTACGAAAATACCAAAAGTGGGAAAAACAACCACACAAAGGGTTAGGAAAAATGGTACCTGATACATACACAGGGTTGGGAATAGTGTCTGACCCCACCAGCAAGACAGAAAAATCGTAATTCCCAGAGCTTTGGGTAGAATAGTCAGAGGACTCTTGCTTCCATAGTAGGGAATCATTAGCCCTAGACTCAACACTGCTCTGACTTACATAAAAAATCTTAAAACTGGGATCTGAAAAGATCAAACGTTTTCTAAGTAATTTAATTGTGACCCAGAGCAAAGTTCAAGAATATTTATAGGATAACAAAAAAAAATCTATCACATATTTAGATAATCTAAATATCTATCACAAAATTCACAATGTCAGGCATCTAATTTGAAAAATGGCAGACATGCAAAGACACAGAAAAATATAATCCACAATGTGAAAATAAATCAATCTCTTGATACAAACCCAGAACTGACATAAATATTGGAATTAGTGAATATTAAGATAGTAATCACCAATGGTTTAATATGTATTAAATACAAGTATATATCCTTTATTTTCAAAAAAAAGACATGAAAGATATAATAAAAAAAAATTGGGCCAGGTGCAGCGGCTCATGCCTGTAATCCCAGCATTATGGGAGGCTGAGGGGACAGATCACTTGAGGTCGGGAGTTCGAGACTAGCCTGGCCAACATGATGAAACTCTGTATCTACAGAAAAAAATACAACAATTAGCAAGGCATGCTGGTGCACGCCTGTAATGCCAGCCACTCAGGACGCTGAGGCAGGATAATTGCTTGAACCCGGGTAGCAGAGGTTGCAGTGAGCCGAGATCGTGCCACTGCACTCCAGTCTCGGCAACAGATTAAGGCTCTGTCTCAAGAAAAAACAAAACCCGAATCGAAGTTGAACTTTAGAAATGTATAGTAGAATATCCGAGATTTTCAAAATACATTGGATTTTGTTTTATTCTGTTTTGTTTCCCAAAATGCCTGATTAGAGGCATTTTCAGCATGCCATATGCACTGAGAAGAACCAAAATAGTGTATGGACAATCACACTTTGAACATATTATCTAAGAGGAAACATGGGAGTTCAACAGAATAGTGAGATGAAGCTCCACAATCTGGGAAGAAGATGGAGGATAAGCAGCCCACATGGCTAGGAGTGGCCAAAACTAGGAGCTAATCCCCAACATGGAAAAGAGTGAGTGAGTTTCTTCATACGGTTCATTTTTACATTGGGGAATCATGCAAGCCAAGCCATGGGAACCAAATTGGCTCTACCAAACCCTGAGTATAACTTGGGAAGTGGTGGGGAGACTGTGAGGAGGAACTGTTCCAGGAAATGTCTCACATATTCCCACAAACCTGGATCCCTATGGTAGGATGCCATTCTTGATCCTAACTCTTAGCAAGCTGTGCATGGTCATGGTCCTGGGAGCTTGCAGCTGCAGCAGTCTTCAACTTTAGAGAAGCTCAGGCTTGGACTTCAGAAACTGGAGCTTGATTGAGGGAGGAGCGTCCACAGTCAGAACTGAGAAATAAGTGTGGTAAGGGCTCCAGGTCCTGGCCCACCACGTGGGACATGAACAGGAGGAGAGTTGCCAGAGAGGCTTGGTATCAAGCTGGGCAGTGGCTCCTATAGCCTGAGTCTGTGTTGCAGACTAAAAGCAAAATGCAGTAAGTAACTGAAGAGCTACATGGGCTGACACAGTTAGGACAGGGGAGTGAGTTCTGCCAGGACTGAAGCATGAGAGGGAAGCAGATTCCACTACTGCTGTCCAACACTGTGGACATGGAATGAACTCTCCTTCTCTGTGGTGAGACCTTGGCACAGCAGTAGTGAGCCCTCACCCAGGCTTTTTTTTTTTTTTTTTGAAATTTATTTATGTTTGAGATAGAGTGTCGCCCTGGCACCCAGACTGTAGTGCAGTGGTGTGATCTCAGCTCACTGGTTCAAGCAATTATCTTGCCTCAGCCTCCCAAATAGCTGGGATTACAGGTGTGCACCACCACGCCCGGCTAATTTTTGTATTTTTAGTAGATATGGGGTTTCACCATGTTGGCCAGGTCTTGATCTCCTGACCTCGTGATCCATCACCCAGGCTTTTTACAAGGGGCCTGAGGACTTCCCTGCCAACCCTGTCTGGGATGGTGAAAGTATGTGACACTGGGGGACCTGAGTGCAGGATTGCCCAGTCCAACTTCACCCACCCCTCCGAGAAAGAGTGTGAAATCTATGTCCCTGAAGGGTCCAAGTTTCAATCCACTGCCTAGGACACGTGAGCACTTCCAGAGAACACAGGTCAAACATAAATCCTACCACTACTACCACAGCTGTCTTTTACCTCTAAGCACCACGTACTGGCCTGGAGGCCAGCCCACATAGCACATTGCAGCAACTGCTAAAATAGCACAGTGCTCAGGATTGACAAAAGCTTCTGTGACTACCGCTACCCCGATCTCCCTGCTACCCTGGCTGCCCAGAAGGTCATGAGTCCAATCACCCACCCACGTAGTTGTACATGACAACTACAACTAGTATTTGAGAAAACCAGGACACTAAAGTACTTATAGCCAAGGAAATCATAGAGTCTTTGTCACTGCAAATATCCAGAAGCAAAATCAAATGACCCTATCCAATATTCATCATCATCATATCTTCAAGAAAAAAGTTCTCCCCCAATGAAAGTAAATTCAAAAATAAGAAGTGACTGTTGGTTGAGATATGCAGAAATCAACATGAAAATATAGAAAGCATGAAAAAGCAGGGTACTAAGACACCCTCGAATGAACATAATAATTCTGCAAAAATAGATTCTAGCCAAAAAGAAATTCTTGAGATGCCAGATAAATAATTCAAAATATTTATTCTAAAGAAGTTCAATGACACCCAAGAAAAATATGAAAACCAACACAAAGAAATCAGAAAATGAAGTCAGGATATGAATGAGAAATTTAATAAGGGAATAGGTATCTTAAAAAACAAACACATGAACAACAGAAATTCTCAAACTGAAAAATTAATTGAAGACATTATAAAATACATTTAAAAATTTCTGTAATAGACCAGGCCAACCAGAAGAAAGAATCTCAGAATTTGAAGACAGACCTTTTAAAATAGTCTATTCAGACAAATATAACAACAAAAAATAAAAATAATAAACATGGCCTTCTAGATGTTTGGAATTACATAAAGCAGCTGAATTTGCAAATTATAGGTAATCCTAAGAAGGAACAAATGTCAAAAAAACTTAAAAAACTTATTTAAGAAAATAATTGATGAAAACTTCCCAAATCTAGCAAGAGATATAGACACCCGCATACATGAGGTCCAGTGATCTTTGGTAAATACATTGCAAAAAGGATTTCACCATGACACATTATTATCAGAATGTCTAAGGCCAAAATGAAGAAAAAATAAATAAATCAGTGAGAAAAATATCTAGTCACCTATAAAGAAAACTGTATCAGACAAACAGTGGAGTGCTCAGGAGAAAACTTAAGAGGGCAAAGAAAATGGGAGGGTACTTTCAAATTGCTGGAAGAAATAAAAGCCAAGTATTTTATATCCAGCAAAATTAAGCTTTATAAATAAAGGAGAAATAAAATATTTCACACAGAAGCAAATGCTGAGTGAATTGTCACCACTAGACTGTCTCTAAAAGAAATGTTCAAAGGAGTCCTAAATAGGAAAACAAAAGTTCAATATTCATCATCATGAAACCACAGAAAATAATATAAATCACAGGCCTTATAAAAAAAAATCACACAAATAAGGAAGAAAAAGAAATCAAGTGTCAACATGACAGAATTTCACCAAACCAGAAAGTCAAACAGAGAAAAAGAAAGAAATAACTTATAAAACAACTAGAAAACAATTAATAATATGACCAGAACAAAACCTCACATATTAATATTAATCCTGTATTTAAATAGATTAAATGTTCCACTTAAAAGGTATAGATTGGCAGAATGAATTTTAAAAAGCATGATCCAACTATATGCTACTTAGAAGCAACTACCTTATGTGTAAAATACACACACAGACAAAGTAAAAGAGTGGAAAAAGATATTCATTGCAAATGAATCACTGCAAAACCAACAGCTAATAGGAGTAATGATATGGTTTGGCTCTGTGTCCCCACCCAAATATCACCATGAATTTTAATAATCCCCACATGTCAAGGGTGAGACCAGGTGGAGAAAACTGAATGATGGGAGGTGGTTTTCTCCATGCTGTTCTTGTGATAGTGAGTTCACATGCAATCTGATGGTTTTATAAGGAGCTTCCCACTTTAGTCAGCATTCATTCTCTCTCCTGCTGCCCTGCGAAGTGGTGCCTTCTGCCATGATTGTAAGTTTCCTGAGTCCTCCTCAGCAATGCAGAACTGTGAGTCAATTAAACCTCTTTCCTTTATCACCTGGTTATGTCTTTATTAGCAACATGAGAATGAACTAATACAAGTGGCTATATTTATATCAGATAAATCAAACTTTAAGTTACAAATATTTTTAAAAGACAAAAAAGGTTATTATATATCGTTCATTGATTGATTGATTGAGTCAGGGTCTTGTTCTGTCACCCCAGCTAGAGTGCAGTAGCATGATCATGGCTCACTGCAGTCTCGACCTCCTGGGCTCAAGTAATCCTCCCACTTCAGCCTCCTGAGTAGCTGTTAATACAGGCCTCCACCACTACACCCAGCTGATTTTGGTAATTTTTTTAGAGATGGCATTCTGCCATGTTGCCCAGGCTGGTCTCAAACTCCTAGGGTCAGGCAATCCACCTGCCTCCCAAAGTGCTAGGATTATAAGCATGAGCCACTATGCCTGGCCATTTATTATATACCAATAAAGAAATCAAATCAGCAAGAGAATATAAAAATTGTAAATATATATGCACCCAACACTGGAGCACCTGGATTCATAAAACAAATATAACTAGAACTAAAGAAATAGACAACAATACAATAACAGTGGGGGACTACAACACTCCCACTCACAGCAATAGACAGATCATCAACACAGAAAATCAACCAAGAAACATTAGACTTAAATTGAACTTTAGACCAAATGAACCTAACATTTGCTAACATTCAATTTTATTATAATTCCACATCACCAAACTAGAACTAAGTTGTTTATCTAATCTTTTGAGAAATCAGGAGAGAGATAACAGCTACATCCCAAACAGGCCAGCTCTAGCCTCCATTAAGAAAGTCCTCTCTGCTTAAACCTCTACAAAGAAAGTAACCTGATATTTACCAGTTGGCCTCTGTTCCGTTTCAGCTTTCTTCAGTCTTTTTCTGCCTATATGTCAGACTCTTCTGCTTACCTCATTGGAGTACCTTTTCTAAGCCCTTAGATGAGATGTTCCCTGATTCATAAACTGCTGATAAAAGCCAATTCAATCGTTAAGCTAAATTTATTGAAATTTTGTCTTTTGACATTTCAATTGGTAATTATAGAAAAAAAATTGATGTGGCATCAGGTGGCTTGGGCTTTCAAGTTATATCATTGGCAAAGTTCTGCTTTATTTCAAGTAGGTCACCTTATTTGCCAAGTTTTATTGACTGCTGTCTTAACATCCACCTCTTAACACACATGAAAAACATAAAACCTAAAAGTAGGTAAGTCCTGTATCAACCCCATCTTGTGACTGTACAACCTCATTAATATTCTAATTCATCCTGAGTGACCTTCTTCAGGAACTAAGACTCCATAGGATATTCTCTGAAAAAGGATGCAAGATTAGCACTGATTCTGTATTAAAATGGCAGCGAGATCCAAACACCCAAGAAGGACACAAGTAATATTCCTGCATGATTGACATCATACTGGGCATTGTTTATATATGTACTTCTCAAAATTTATTAACATCTAACGTTGAGTATCCACATTTTGGAGAAAATGACTAGATAAACCAATGGATCATCTTTGCATTTCATAAAGCTTCTTCCCTTTGTAAACTGAGTCACTGAAATTTGATCAAATGATAATTCTTCCGGCATATGAGTAGTTTTTGAAATAAATAATTTGATAATCAATTAAGAAAAACTTTAAGGTCATGTGTGTGGAGGTATTATTTAACTGAGGGGTAATAAAATGGGGGGAAGCATTTTGGAAATTATAGGGTAAATCAATAAAAATTATTCAATTTAAAATGTTATCTATAGGAAAAAAGAAAAAGGAAGGGAGAGAGGGAAGAGGACATTAATGAGATTCGATACGAACTCTTAGATGTATGAGTTTTACAACAGAAGTTGCAAGATCCTTAACCTTAGACAAAGCCCTGTATTGGGCTGTATCCTATCTCCAGGTATGTCATAGATTTCAGAGACTTCTTGGCTCCCCTATAAACTTGAACATGTTAAATCCAATGTGTCTAAGAAAACACACTCTAAATTCCAAACAAATGCCTCACAAATAAATGTTTAAAGCACTATTCACTCCTAATTGATAAATGTGTTTATTACTTTTCTTGAAGGAAAAGGGTTTGTTAGCTTTTATCTTCTTTCATCTTAATGAGGTTAAACTGGCTTATTTTTTATTACATAAATCAGAATTTAACAAAATTTAAGTGTGATCTTATCAAACATTATTCTATTACTATTTTATAAATCTCAATATTTCTGGTATGTAGCTGTCTAATCTTAATAACATGACAACATAGCAGCAAAAGTTCTTCTAGTTTTAAACTCCAGTGTTTTATTGTGACAAATTAAGAAAAAATCCTATCAAGATAAGTCTTTATAGCCAAGTTTAAGCAGGTCATGTTTATGGAGGTATAGACCC